>NC_000003.12:107341937-107644967 GCF_000001405.40 Homo sapiens | reverse complement strand
ATTTTATGGCTTAGCTTAAGTTTTTTTTTCTAATAAGCCACTATGATATGGAAGAACTGGCTCTTCACATTAAATATCAAAAATATGTAATGATTCATCTGAGTAATCCTATCTAGAATTAGATGACTCAGTTGCCACCCCGTGCTATTAACAAAAACAAAAGCTGGAAAGAATGAATAAAGTATTAATTGGTCTCATGTGGCTTCAGGCAAGATACTACTCATTCATCCATATTTTTTAAAACAAGGGCATAGATAAAAGAATAAATCCAGATCTTTGAAGCAAACTATAAAGGACACATATGAATACTTTCAAGTCAAACGTCTACGCTTTTACTACAGTTTAGGAAAGCAGCATGCCAATTCCAAACACTGATGAAATAAATAATATCAAAGTCTATTATTATAAAATAGGCAACATATAAATATCAAAAACATTTTTAAAGAAAATCTCATAATACTATCACATTCACATACTTTTCATATACATCTATGAAAGTATACAGAAGAAGCATTAAATATTATGAAACAGATGAGTAAATATCATGAAGTAAATAACTGTAAATAAACGTCAAGTAAATAAACTGGTATAATCTAAAAATATATATAATTTGTACTGCCAAAATTGGGATAAGAAAGTCTACCATTAATTTTGACAGTGTGAGTTTCATTCTTATTTTGATTTAAGGATTTTCTCTTTAAGAAGTGAATATATGCTATCTGAGAAATAAAATACCCTATACATCCCTATATACGTAAGTAAGTTCTTTCAGGAGCTCAAAGATAAACTCATTAATCTTCAGGTACCCTTGGAGATTTGTTTCTATTAATATAATTGAATATACTCCAAAAAGTTGACCATAATTGCACTTTGTCTTGATAACTGTTCAATAATTTATTACCCATGATGCAACTATCTATAGATAAAGTAGCAGAGGGGTGAGAGAGGAGATTGGCTATGCTTTGCCCAATATGGGTTTTTTAAATCTCTTAAAATAACGAAGGAATCATGGTAGACTTAAGAAGCCAGGAAATCAGCCACAGAGCAGACATCAGTTTCAAGGCTGAGGGTCCTGCCTGTGATAAGTCTATCACAGGCCTTTGAGTTCTCTGACAGCCAAACAGAAACACTCCAAATTTTATCTGGCTATTACAAATGGCCACATGAGTAGCCTCAGAAAAGCAGTTGCAGCATAGCCTGGTCTGCATTTAAATCACTAGTATTTCAGAGAGTGTACTGATTTGACGGAAATGAGTGGTGATGTGAGGTATCAGAAAGGCAGGTGGGCCAGCAGGGGGAAATGCCCTAAGTATGAGCACAACCCTATAGAACGGTGACTTGAATGAGCCCTGAGACCAACGCCTGGGCAGATTTTCATCTGAGCCACCTGGTACCTGTCTGTGTTCTCTGGGTCCCACTTTGGCTTACTTTCAACCCCCAATCACCCCCACAGAGCCTTGGCTTCCTGACTCCTGGTGATTAGCTCCACTGCCTCGCTAGGAACTTGTCTTTCCCTTTTCAAGGCCTCTGCTTCCCACCCATGACACTGCACACCCCCCTCCCAGTCCTAGCCAGCACTGATCTGGCACAGCTTAGGATTCCCTCTAAGAAACTTCATAATGGCAGGTGGGACAGCCATCTATTAAATATTATTTGTCCCTTACAAACAGGGCATCTGAAAAACCTATCTTACAGATGTGGCCTAAACCACCACTGACACACGCTGAAGCAACTGGCTTTTTGACACAGCTCTCACACTCCCCCTTGAGGTGCTGTTTTAAAAAGCTTTTTATACTAAAAAAGGTGAGGTGCCACCTCCTACAATGAGGCAGATTCCCAATTAGTGTTAATGTCCAGCATAACATTCAAAGGCACGTCATTGCAAAATCCCCTAGTATGCCAAAACTGTGTTTTGCACCCTGATGTCACTACTACCTAGTCAGTGCAGAAGGGACTCCGAGGTAACGATGCTGCCCACTTACACAGAAGAATATTTAATCCCCATGAATGACTGCTTTTCTGATGTTTTCATCAATTCTCTGGGTAATAGATTAAGCTTTAACTAACTCATTTTCATACATACCCCTAATTCAATCAAGCTCAATAAAAGTCATTCTGGACTGCAATTATTTGCTAAGGAACAATTACATTCAACTGAAAAAAAAACTGCTGGGCATGATACCATGCATGGTACACATGCCTCTCCATTTATAGAGTAAAAACAACAACAAAAATAGCCATACTGCTAGAAAAAGGAAATAAGGATTTTTTCCTCATCCTCTGGAGAACAGAATACTCATGCTTTCATACCTTAAAAAGGGGGGAGGTAGGGAATGAAAAAGCAAATTTTTAAATGACTGCTTTCAACTACATGTATGCTTTCAAAGAGACTGTATTTCTAATTTAAGAGCCAGCATGATTTCTGAGACCCCAAGCAAGTATAGGTCACGAACTAGGAGTTCTAATACCCACTCTTCCACAAAACCTTCCGCTGGCTTCCTCCATTTCGTCAGTAGGTACTGTATTCCAATTTCCATTTTATAATGCAAGTTTTCTTAAGAGACTTTTCCTACTTTAAAACTACTTCTCCATCTTTACATGGATACAATTCTTATCTTCTTCTTGACTCATTATTTTATATACTACATGTTGATAAAATGAACTTAATCACCAAGCTTTTACCTCCATGTAATATAATGGAGTTGTGTTTGTAGTCAAAAAATTCTTGTTGATTTAATTAAAGCCTTCCCTGTCCTGGGTGTGCATAACCCTTTCCCATTCTATATATTCTGTTATTCCCAACAGTGGCCTCATACACATTACGCAATTTGTAGTACTGAAAATGATGTTGTTATACCAACTGTTATGCAATTTTGGCCAATTAATTCCATGCCTCAGGTCACTGTTGTCCACTACAGGCTAAAGGCCTAGAAATGATAAACTGACAGTCTGATCTCTAGTTAAATCATCTGCTGAAATAAAATATCTTCATATAGAGAAAGATAACTGCAGGAACATATATACACTCACATACACACACATATAAAATAAAGAAAGTGGCAACATAAACTATGAATAAAGAGAAAACTTTTGTTAAAATTACCCGTCTGTCTTTTACAGTTGAAGCTTAAACCACAGCTGTTTCACAGGCATTTCTGGCCAGGCACCAATCTTTAACTGAAATTACAATGACAGCTATACTGAGAATGGAAATCTCTCAAAAGAAATGCAAATCTGAATTACCTCTTTGTCACTTTCCCACCCCTACCTTGGCATTTCCTCATTACTCCCAGAGCCTTTCAGTTGAAAAACATTAAATATAGTAATAAAGGCAAACATGTCTTAAGAGTTCCCTAGATAATTTGGCAGTAAACCATAGTAACTACTAAGTAATTACAGATTTGTCCATTTGTTTGGATTCTCCAAAAAAAAGTATAAGAAAACACTAGGTAGGAGGGACAGAAAACTCCAGCATTCATTGGTTCAGATGGGCCCTTTATAACAGCAGATGAAAGATTTGCAAATCCTCTCCCCTTCAGTACTTAATATTGAACCAAGAATAAAGTTATTTTTAAAAATGACCGGCAAGGCTTGGTGGCTGACGCCTATAATCCCAGCACTTTGGAAGGCCCAGGCAGGTGGATCACTTGAGCTCAATAGTTCAAAACCAGCCCAGGCATCATGGTGAAACTCCATCTCTACTAAAAATACAAAAAGTAGCTGGGTATGATGGTGTGGGCCTATAGTTCCAGCTACTCAGGAGGCTGAGGCAGGAGACTTGCTTAAACCCGGGAGGTGGAGGTTGCAGTGAGCTTAGGTAATGCCATTGCACTCTAGCCTGGGCGACAGAGTGAGATTCAGTCTCAAAAAAAAAAAAAAAGAAAGAAAAGAAATTACCTACCACCTACCTATATGCCAACAGAATAGCAAGGCAAATGATGTAGCCTTTTACTGTTTGGGAAATTACTAACCTCCTATGCATTAACACTGCAAAAACTATTAACAGACCGGGTGCGCTGGCTCATGCCTGTTAATCCCACCACTTTGGGAGGTTGAGGCAGGTGGATCACCTGAGGTCAGGAGTTCAAGACCAGCCTGGCCAACATGGAGAAACCTTGTCTCTACTAAAAATACAAAAATTAGTTGGGCATGGTGTTGGATGCCTGTAATCCCAGCTACTTGGGAGGCTGAGGCAGGAGAATCACTTGAACCCGGGAGACGGAGGTTGCAGTAACCAAGATTGTACTACTGCACACCAGCCTGGGCAACAGAGCAAGACTCCATCTTATGAAACAACAACAACAACAAAACAGTTATTATAATAGTTACTGCTTTCTTAAAGCTGATGAGATCTAGTTGGGTGATCACATACACAAACACACAAAGCTAAATAATAGTAGCATAATATGTAATAAATGTCAAAATGGTAAGGAAAGGAATTTTTTAAAGTTAGAATATACCAGGGGATCTCTACACAGGAGACGAATAAAACTGGAACCTGAAGAACCAATGGCAGTTGGGAATACAGACAGACAGGATGGAGGAGAGTGTTAAAGGCATAGGATGAGCAAAGGTTCAATACTAAAGCAAGCATGACTTGCTGGAAGGGATAGGAGGCATATGCAGCAGATCTGGTTGAAGTACAGGGTTCACGTGAGAAAGTAGGACATGAAATGTGGGCAAATGAGAAAGCAATGTGATTTGCTCTTTTTTCTCTCCATAGTTTCCTAAATAGCAGAGTAATGTTAGCAGCATGGTGGTATACTAAGCATACTGGCCTTAGGTTTACTACCCTGCAATTGTGGGCCAATTCCTAAGCCTCTCTGAGCCTCTATTCCTCATCAGCAAAATTGGGATAACAATCCCTACATCTCTAATTGTTGCCTTCAGAATTATTAGAAGATATTATAAATTCAAAGCATTTGCTATACAATAAGTGCTCAATAAATGTCAGTAATCTCATTAGAGATAAAAACTAAGGGGTAGAAAAGCATTTAATAAAGTTACATTGTGAACACACTTAAGTTTGCCTTGACTATTCTCAGCATTTGGGTGCTGAATGAATTGCTACTTCTCAAGTGTTATTTCACCATAGATTTTATTTTAATTTAGATGGCTTTCATATATGTTTAATTCTGACAGTCTCACTTTTAACCCTACCAATTTCAATATACATTAGCTGATTTAATGTACATTGCCATAAGATCTTTGTACATTATGTACATTATGTACATTGCCATAAGATTTTTGCTGCAGGGACCATGGTGGAACCATGAATGTCTACAGTTTCCATAAGTGGAGAAGTAAAAGGAGTAGGCATTAGTCCAGTCAGATGCCTCTTTTAAACTCCTATGAATTGTATCAATGAGACCTTCTCAGGTATGGGATATCGCACATTTAAGGCAAAAAGAGTTTCACTTCCAGGAAGGGTATAAAAACATGTTTGCCAGCAGCTACATCAGGAATAACGACAGGGAAGCCCCAGGATCTTTGGGAAGATTCATAAGCTCTATCAAGCCACTGAGAACTAAGCTGGAAAATAAACAGTGAAGATAATCCCAGCCCCATGGGATACCCCTCAGAGATTGGGTTAGCTGAAGTAAACCCTGACCTACACTGTTTAGGCATCAGCCTGCACCTTCAGGAAGGGGTTCTGCAAATGAAACCCACTGGAGAAACCTTAAGACCACCTTGTCCCCTGTTGAGGCAAGAGTGTTCCCTGGGCTCCTTTCACGTCAGCAATAATTTGGCAATAATTTGCAATATATTACAAAATCACATTCTTAATAAAAAAATTTAGTCCAAAGTCATTTGATAAAAAGGGAAGTCATTAATTATCAATTTACATAATTTTAAATGGAAAATCTTCAGTTCCAAGAAGCAAAGGACAGTGATCTCTTATTTTCCCTTATTAATACATTAAATATCACTTAACAGCATATTATGATCAAAAATTATAACATATTCCTTTGCTTTTTTGAGACAGGGTCTCACTCTGTTGCCCAGGCTGGAGTGCAGTGGTGCAATCTTGGCTTACTAAAACCTCTGCCTCCTGGGCTCAGGTGATCCTCCCACCTTGGCCTCCTGAGTAGCTGGGACTGTAGGCACATGCCACCAGACCTGGCTAATTTGTCTGTGTGTGTGTGTGTGTGTGTGTGTGTGTGTGTGTGTGTGTGTGTGTGTGTGTATACTTTTTTTTTTTTTTTTTTGGTAGAGGAGTGGTTTCTCCACGTTACCCAGGCTGGCATCTTGAACTCCTGAGCTCAACCAGTCCTCCCACCTCGGCCTCCCAAAATGTGGAATTACAGGCATTAGCCAGTGTGCCTGGTCATATGTTACTTGTTAAAAAAACAAAAAACTGTACTGTCCAGAAAAAGTACCTGTTTCAAGTGTGTCTAACATGTTTCCAGCAAATCGCTTACCTGCAGAAAGAATTGTTCCAGGTATATTAATTCCAAGGATATTCCTGATAAGGAAGACACACAGGAGTCTGCTCAAAAGTGACCAATGGCAACTGTCAATATGCTCCTTTTTGAAGTAACTTATTACAAAGCAGTTATCCTTGGGACAAATAACATCACATAGCAATTAGTTGTTTTAAATCAGAAAACTAGGCTGGGCTCCATGGCTCACGCCTATAATTCTAGCACTTTGGGAGGCCAAGGCAGGAGGATCACTTGAACTCAGGAGTTTGAGATCAGCCTGGGCAACATACTGAGAAGACCCTGCCTGTACAAAATATTTAAAAATTTGCTGGGCATAGTGATGTACACCTATAGTCTCAGCTACTTGGGAGGCTGAGGTGGAAGGATTGCTTGATTCCAGCAGTTCGAGACCAGCCTAGGCAATACAGTGAGACCTGCCTGTACAGATTTTTTTTTAATTAGTCAGGCTTGGTAGTTTGTGCCTGTAGTTAGTACCAGTTACTTGGAAGGCTGAGGTGGGAGGATGGCTTGAGCCTGGGAGTTCAAGGCTGCCGGGAGCCATGATTGCACCACTGCATTCCACTTGGGTAACAGAGCAAGACCCTGTCTCAAGAAAGAAAAGGAAGGAAATAAAGGAAAGGAAAGAAGAAAGTAAAGGGAAGGAGGAAAGAAGGGAGGGAAAGAAGGAATCCAAGAAACTTTCCTTAGAGTCCATCAGGGAAGTCCAATCACATTTCCATAGCTGACGCCAAGTAGGACCCAGAAAGTTTAAGTGACTACACAAAAGGCCATCAGCTGGTTTATGATAGAGCTGTGACAACATCCCAGGTCTTCACATTGCTTTTCTCATGACTTCACACTGCTGCCCTTGTAGGAGTTGATGTTTCTCCCTATCACACATCCTGTGAAATCACAGGATTACAGAATGTTGGAGGCAGATAAGAGTTTGAAGCCACTCAGTTCAACCCATCGACCACACAACCAAGACAGAGGCAGAGGTAGGCCAGAACCCAGGGCTACTGCCATGGTCAGTACACTTGCCCTGTATCACACTGCCCTTCTGGAATATGATCAATCCGTTTGATCTGCAGTTTGTCATCCACAGACTAGCAGGAAGCTCCAGACCAGATTACAATGCATCCCTACTCTTCCTGTGTTCCTCTACAGAAGCGTTCAGTTGGAAAAGTATGGTAAAACCAGGGCCTAAGTTTTTACTGTCAATGCTCAGTCAGAGAATGTTTCTTGGCTCTAAAACATTTTCTCCTTTCTAGTCTGAAGGCAAAGAAAGATGCCTTCTACAGCCTGTTAGCTGTAGAAGTGAGCATGTAAAATATTTCTTTGTGTTCTTAAATATTCCTATAAATACCTTAGAATAAAAAGTTAATGTCAGTGTAGACAGTATAGAGGAATTCTCTGTAGTTTCCACTCAATTTTGCTGTAAGCTTAAAACTTCTAAAAAAAGGTCTATTATTTTTTAAAAAGTTAATGCCAGTTTATTACATTCTAACTATATTAAAATTATATATTGACTGAAGAATAAATAGCAAGCCAATGCCAGTTGAGAATATATGAAGAGTAATTCTCCTTTAAATGCTCACCACACTAGAAACACCTAGTACCAATTAAAATTATGTTTTCCATTAAAACTAAGCACATTCTCTACAGTAACAACCTCTTTACGATATAAATGCTCTACCAATAATTAATCCTCAATAAATGCCCTCTGCATTAGTTCTACTGCTCCCACAGCAGTCAATATTTAAAATAATACAAAACATTTAGTTTAGATTAAGCCAATTCAAAATAGCAAAGGAAATATTCTCCAACTATTTCCATTGGTAGACATAAGGGTTATCCTTTGTCACTAATTCCAGTGTAGCAACCCACAGAAATCAGTGCTATACAACTCCGGGGGCACCAATTATAAGTACTACAAGGCAAATGGCAAAAGACTTATCCTGAAGCAGCCTGAGAGATACCTGTAATAGCCATGGTTCTTAATACTGCTAATAAGTATTTTGAAATGTTAACTTCTTATATAATTATCAAAATCAGATTGTCAACTTTCAAGTCTCATGTAGAAACTTTATTTAAATAGCAGAATAATCAGCTACAAAAGTGTATTTTCCATATTAGCTTTTCTTAAGCAGCAAATTATAGACATGTATGCTTTTGCCTGCTCATCGTACAGTCTCCCCCACCTCCATTCCTTGGTAAAGGCGCTTAGATTTTTAGGAAAATATTCCATGTACCTTGAATGTATATATATTTTGGGAAAATAGTCCATGGCTCCTTGAGTGGGACTGACCTAATTCTACCTGAGTTTCAGGTATAGAAATATCACCCAGGCTTGGCCACTCAGCTTATTCCATCTTCGTGAACACTGCAGCTGGGTGATGAATGGGTACGAAACCTGAATCATGGCAAAGCATGCAAAATAAATAATACCAAGTTTATGCTATATTATTCCCAGTGCCCAAAGGGAGAGGAGACAGAGAGTAGAACAATTAACAGTTTTGTTGAAATAAAAGTACTCCGGGCACGGTGGCTAACGCCTGTAGTCTCAACACTTTGGGAGGCCGAGGCGGGAGGATCACCAGGTCAGGAGTCTGAGACCATCCTGGCCAACATGGTGAAATGCCATCTCTACTAAAAATACAAAAATTAGTCAGGCGTAGTGGCAGGCGCCTGTAATCCCAGCTACTCGGGAGGCTGAGGCAGGAGAATCGCTTGAACCAGGAGGCGGAGCTTGCAGTGAGCCGAGATGGTGCCACTGCACCCCAGCCTGGGCAACAGGGTGAGAATCCATCCCAAAAAAAAAAAAAAAGATGAAAATACTGAACCACATATATACTTCCTGAAAAGAAAGGAAAGAGAATACTGATTTATTTTACTCTATTTCAAATCCTAATTTCAGTGACTTTATTCAAAATTTTTGGCACATGATGATATTCAGTAAGTCAAGATGTTTAGATTTGAAATTTTTACTACACATATCAGTTTCTCCTTCAATTGTATTTCCTATAAAGATAAGTTTCAGGTTTCAACACAAATACTAAAAACTGGCAAATGTTAATTTGACTTCTAAAACTAATTCTATGGTATTTCCAATATCTTGAAATTTGCTTATGGATGGCAGTATACTTAAGTGGACAGTGGCACACAATTCATTTTCCATGCAAGGTTATGGCTTGATATGTTTTCTTAGATTTAGCAGAAAAAATTAAACAAAATAAAAACATGGACTCATTTGGAATACAGTGTTTCGCTTCAGTGAGAGTTACCATACATGCCTCCAGAAAAACATAATCAATTTCTGAGGAGTTAAAGTAAACTATATCAATACCCAAACTATTCTAAATATAATTTTCAAATAAAATCTTCATAGCTTGAAGAGGCACAGTGTTTGAGTTATTTTTATAGATGGTAATAGTCACAAGGAACCCAAGAGTTGGGTATCATACAATATATATGATAATTATTTTCTTCACTAGACTAGATCCCTCATATCAACTTACTTGACCCAGGTCTCTTTCATAAAAGTTGAATTTAATATATGTGATATGGTCACACATGAACATCACATAATCAAAAACATAAACTTCAAACTACTGAGCTCTACCATTACTCAGATTCCAGACAAAGAGAGTACTTGCTATAACTTAAAAGCAACAACAAAAGTATTTGTTTATTCTCTGGAGGTAAGGTGGATAGAAAGAAAGGAATCATTAAATGTAAATTCAGACCTAAGATTTATTTCCAAACGTTAGCTATATCAACAAGGCTTTTACAGGTTTCTGGAAATGCCAGAGCCTGCTTTGATAACAAGAGTAAAAGCAAACTTCAATTATTCTATTTTCAGGGTGAACAGTAACAGGAATAGTAACACACTTTGGATTCCAATTCTGAATCATGGTTTATAGCCTTCAATGAATCTCATCAGCAACAAGTTTCATATAATAAATTTTGGGGAATCTTCAAGAGATTGTCTATGATATAGACTTGATAGGCTTGAAATTTAACATTATTTGTTTACAGTAAAATCTACAACACAGTTCAACACTGTTGCTAGAAAATAATTTTAATTAATTAGGTCGCGCTTTGTCTCCATACTCCAGTCCTCTCTCCAAAGCTATTTTAATATACTTACTGAATATTTTGTATGGTACTAATTCTACATAGAGCTGAGAATGGTACAACAGATAACAGAGGTAGAGGAGAGGACTAAGAGGGAAACTCTAGGTTTCTCTTTTGAAGTTCTAGCATGAGAACTCAATGCATACTAACAGACATCTGTCTAAGTTAAAAATCCAATGGTAGAGTAATAAGACGAGGTGGCATGTAAGCATACCCACAGACATAAGTAAGCATTGTCATCTTTATCTGTTTATATAACTGAAAGGTATCACCTATAGTCTAAACTTAGTAGCATCAAGTGGAATGAATAGAAGTCCAAAAGTAGAGAATAGAGAGGGGATGCCTACCTTAACTGAAAAGCATGTGAAGTGACATATTGTAATATGAGCCAACACTGTGAAGTAGCTGGCTAGCAAGAAGAGATGAAAGCCCACTCTATCTGGTGCTATCTGTCTACATCTGGTAAGAACATAAGGACTATGGAGAGGTTATGAAGAGGGGCTAAGAAACCCTGTTGGGGGCACAATAGTTGAAGGAAATGAAAATGTTACTCTGGAAAAGAAGAAGTGCTCTTTTCACATCCTTTTATGGTCTTAAGGAAGAGACATCAGACATAATTTTGTATGGTGGTTTCAGAGGTTAAAACTGAAATCAATAAGCAGATGTTTCTAACAGGCAGTTTTGGGGGTTCCGTATGAGGAAATTCTTTCTAACCATCAGATCTGTCTAAAAATGAAGTGAGTTCCTCTTGGATGTTTGTGCAGGGCACTGAGGCCTTAGAGTCTAAGATTCTAACATTTCAAGATTCTTTATCTTTCAAAAAACAAAAGAAATGAGAGCTGGAAACCATGATGCCTGAAATCAATCATGTCCGCAGGCATGATGCCCAGAGATGACAGCTCTATCCCTTTGATCTGCGCCAAATATGCTAGTGCAGTAATAAATTTTCAAAAGTTCAGGTTATATGCATTTTAAATCATGATTAATATCAGTATTAATATCAAACTGTTTAAGAAACTAAGAATTGATCATATGCTAGTTTCTAATTTAAAGATAGTACAGAACTTTTCATAAAATCAAAAGATTTAATAATAATATAATTCAACTATTATATATTTAGCTTATGCTCATTTTATTGCACTAAATTGAAACTGTTAACATATGAAATTCAAAATAAATAGCATTATTATCTATTTTCATATAACTGTTTTTTGAAATTCAAAGCACTTAGAAACATTCAAATCTATTAAAAATTATTATAGTAACTTATATAATAAAGTTTTCCCATGTTATATATTAAGAACAGAGCTAACAATAGCTACAGTTATACTCATTAACTGTACAAATATGAAAAATAATCTCCACAGTACAAATTATCAGATGGGTAAGTCATTCAACTACAAGGCTTCTCTATGTACATCAGTTTTGTTTTACTTTTGGTTGTCGTTGTTTTTTAATCAGTATTTTATGAACATCCCGAAAGAACAGACTACTAATTGTAAAAGAGCAAAAGGATTTGTCAGAATCATTTAACAAGGGATTTTATCTTCTAATTTGTATCTTACAGACTTAGCTTCACATTTTTATTTCATTATCTTATAAAATTTGCTTTTCAGCATATTTTTAGCTGACCTTGCAGGGTAGAGAATGCACCCCAGAATTGAAGATCATAAGGTTAATATCTTTGTAGAATTAACATGCCTTATAATTGACTTGCTAAGGGATTTTACCATTTTTCTCCTGCCAGGGGACATTCCCTTTCAGTTAAAATTCCACTATACAGATAACTACTTTGATAACAGGTGAGCTCTTTTTGTAATCACATATTTTTATTGTGTGAACCCTTCTCTTAAGGTTATTCCAAACATCTGACATAAAAGCAATAAAAGAAAATTCCAACAACCCTAAATTAAAAAATCATATTTCCTTTATAAAAATTAACTTCAAATAGATTACAAGTAGACACACCTAGACACTTTCAAAAACTAAAAGTACTAATAAATATGTAAAAGCATTTCTAAGGCCAGGCGTGGTAGCTCACGCCTGTAATCCCAGCACTTTGGGAGGCCAAGGCTGGCAGATTATCTGAGGTCAAGAGTTTGAGACCAGCCTGGCCAACCTGGTAAAGCCTTGTCTCTACTAAAAATACAAAAAAAAAAAATTAGCTGGGCATGGTGGTGCATGCCTGTAGTCCCAGCTACTCGGGTAGGCTGAGGTAGGAGAATCACTTGAACCCAGGAGGCGGAGGTTGCAGTGAGCCAAGGTCATGCCACTGCACTCCAGCCTGAGTGGCAGAGGGAGACGCCATCTCAACAACAACAACAACAAAAAAAGCATTTCTAAGATTCCACCAGAGGTTCCCACTAGGATCTGAAATTGAAACCTGTGAGCCAGCTCTTGATTGCCAGTGCTAAAGAAAGGCAACTGAATTAAGAATTCTGAAAACCATTTTCAAATCACTTTGAAATATCTTCTTCTCCCATAAATACATTTTCTTAAAATGATATAAATATATGCAAAAATAATTTAAGTTTTCAAATATAACACATTTAATGTAACTACTATTTACATTTCTTATGGTTAAAAGTAAAATCAATTTTACATTTCTTAGACGACACAAGGCAGAAAAGTATCAACTGCAGAGAAGTTAAAGAGTCTTCCGTAGCTAAGGAAAATTGACCTGGAACTGAAATGTCATCAGGTTGTCATAAATAATCCACAAACAGCAAAAAGAATGCATGCACTGGTAATATATTTCTAGGTAAGAGATCCCACAAAAATGATGATGACTTTAAAAACAAAATAGAACCCCAAAACCTGTCTGAAGTTAATTAGATTTTTATTTTTAGTGTTTTTTTTTTTAACTAATTCTAAGCAAGGAGAATGGTTTTTAACCCAAACATGCCAGAATAAAACTTACACTATGTATCAAACACAAAAATGTTTGGTTAAAGTCTTCTAGATGACCTACACTGGGAGACTTACTTGACACTTTGAATTTTATCCTAACACTTCACTTTCTCCCACCGCACGTATCTTCTACAGTGATTTTCTTCTTCCTTGTTTTAATCTAAACATCTTCACTATTTTTTATCCAAGTGCCTGCCCGGGCACTTTATGAGGTATGTTTGATTAGGCTATAGTCAGATGTGCCTAGGATGAGCCTAAAAATGAGCCCAAAGGCTTAGAAGGCTGGGCAGAGTGACAAGGTGGTAATTTCTCTATTGTAATGGAAAAGACTCCTGTCCAGGTGATTAGGATGAGCAGCAAGCTAAACAGTTTGTTCTAGTCAGGCAGAGATCCAGTTTGGGATCACTTTGACATGGGGTGTTATAATTAATGAATCAGAAAAAGTTTGAGCAGACAGGAAGATCTGTGAGTCATCTAAATGCACACCACTAAACCTATGGTGAAGAGATGTCACCCAGGGTCCTCCTCAAAAGAGAATAGGGAAATCAGGGGCCCATGGGCTGAAATCTCAGGGAACCTTCACAGCATGGCTTTTGACAGTTCCTTTTTCATTGTGAGAAGAGTTAGGAAAGAAACATGAACATCATCACCCTTGCCCATGACTGACACTGTTGAGTATTTCTAGGAGTTGGTCTAAACCTGCTCTCTGGGCAAGCTAATCCTCAAGTACCCCATCCCGACAGCACATGCCTGTCTACTGTGTACACTGTTCCTCCACAACTTTTCCTTATAATCCCACACATTTCAGAAGATCTCTCAAAAGATCTCTATACTCAAAACATGTTTTACGCACTGAATTATGTTTCCTTGGCCAGATCACATCCTATTTTCTGTCAGAATTGGTTTAAAGATGAAAGATAAGCTCATTGCTTTGGCAGGCAACAGAAATGGCAAACTCACTGGGTCGGGGCAAATTCTATCTGAAAACTGAACGTCATTTTCCCCACTTCCACCCCAGAAATGTAAGTCCAAAATAGTTTAGGCAATGACAGCAACCAAATAATACCAGAGTTCCCCCCTCGCATCGTGCAAAGGAGTGGGGAGGAGGAGGGAGAACATATTCAAATATAAAGAGTCCTTATATTTACTCTGAGACATTTAACTACTCACAATCTGTAGGAACCTCAAAAAGTTTCCACAATTATTTTTGAATCAATCACTCTCAAGCTAGACTACAAAACACAATCACAGGAGACACTTTAAAATATGCAGATAACCACACATTCTCTCCCCTAAACCAATTAAATCAGAATAATCCTGAACATTGGTCTCAGGCATCCAGAGCTGGAAAAGCTCCCCAGGGGATTCTAAGGTGCCGTCAGACTTGAGAACCGCTATGGATATAGAAGGACTGAAGTGATAACAACTAAGTGTTAAAAATTGATAGTATTTGTGACTGATGAGCTCAGAGGACTAAAGTGGAGGGTTTAAAACGGTCACAGGTAATATTGAATCAGACCAGTTAGGCTTATTCTCTTTTATAGCAAGACTGTACCTCTACAGACACGCATCTCACCAGTTTATGCCACATATTTGAATGGATCTGTGTATTAAAAAAAATGGTGTTGGAGGAAAGTCTCAAAATACGCAATGTGAAACTGTCCTTACGTTCACAAAGCAATAAGGAAGAGATGTGGTTGGTTCATCATGCCCTTTCCTATGTTCTCCACCACATTTGATAAACATGTTTTGCAACTCAGCTGACTATATTAAGAATGCATTCTGTGGCTGCAAGAGGAGGGCAAAATTTCTGTGTGACCACTAAGCTCCAACCAGAAGTATGCCATGATTACTATTAAATAGATGGAACACGTTTGGCACTGAATGATGTGTTTGTAGAAGGAAAAAAAAAACATATCCCATGGCCAAAAGTTAATGACATTGGTTATCATCTTTAACATACCAATGAGCAGGGGAGATGAGGGGGAATATATCCTCTGTGAGGCTGCCCAGTTATTTCACAGTAGCTTCAAACATCATTCCACAATGGTGCTCAACATCATGTGCATAATGGGTACTAATTTAGGGACAGCTTTCTCTCATAATTCATCGGTATCTTTGTCCCTATATAAATAGTTGGCCCTTCTATGTAGAAATAAGTTGGGATTTATATATTCATGGACCCTGGATAGGTTTCAAGTGAAATTGTAAGGAAGTTGTTTGCTTTTCATATTATTTTGTTTTGTTTCCTCCTCAGTAGCAATTAATTTGCATCTCATCTTCCTTTTGTGAAGAGGAGGTTCTAACGGAAAAAGCTACTGAACAACCTGAGAACTTAGCTACTCAAATCACCCAAAACACACATTCTCAGCTCTGCAAGCTGAGTACAAAGAGACCCAAATTTTATGGGTGGGGAGGGGAAGCTTAACTAACTACCTTAGAAATTGCAAGCTTCCCAGAGCTCAGCTCAAACATTTAAAAAGTAAACACTTCACAATTACAAAGAAATCAAAACACTTCTTTCAAGTGGAAAAAGATCAAGGAAATAAAAAATGCTGTTTGTGATAAACATGATGTAGTTTACTATCTAGAATTTCTCTAGGCAAAAAGATGCTTCTCTCGGGTACTAATACATGGAGTTTCTAATCTCTCACCCCTATAAGTTCCCATTTTATTTTAATAAAGAAAAACAAGCTGTGAAGGACAATTTTCAGAGCAAGACAGTGTAAATTGCACATCTTGACCAAAGAAATACTAATTTTAAGTATTAAAAAACCCTAAAAATCAGTGATAACCAACTATTTGATGACACACCTATTTTATGTTTGGTTCAATTTCACGTGTCCTAATGTTCTGTGAATTTTAATATTATGTCACTAAGATAACTGGAGGGTTTCTTAAATTAAATGGAAATAATAATCTCAATGAATCCTTAAAAAAAGGTTTCCTCATATAAAAAATGGTACATATAAAAAAGATATGAGAAAAAAATTATTTAATCTATTTCAACTTCTTTCTTTACTGAGAGGCTTCAAATGATTAGTTTTGTATTTTGACATCTGAGTTGAGAGATATTTTATTTTAAAAATTGGGTAATATGTTTTTTTTTCATTTCAATAAAAAAAGCAAACTCTTGATAAATACACTTTATTTGCACATGCACACAATTTTCATTTATAATCAGCTGCTTTTTAATTCAATATCTTTACTTATTAGCAATTCTACTCCAAAATATGGAATCCTTTATACCTTTCTATACTTTAAAATTGTATAGAATTTCTATCTTTAAAGTTGGTACAGTAAGCATTTATATCTTTGGTATAATTTTTTAAAATATGGAGCCCTCCAGTGGCCAAATACTTATAAATACCATGATAAATCAAGATAGTCTACTGATTGCCATGGGTACCACCTCTTTATGAACTTGTTTTATTCCTATGTTTAAAGAAGATAATTGCTTCAGTTAATTTCATTCACAAATAACCAGATGTAATCAGACTCTAGATTTTATAAAATGATGGACATTTTCCAGTATTATAGTTCCCTTATTATTCATTGCTATAGTGAGAAAAAAACTCATTGAAAACATAATCAAAACAGGCATTCTAAGAAAAAAGAAGCAACTCTTTCAGATACTAAAGAAAAATTCATTTAGAGAAAAACATTAAATAAGAAAGTTCATGCTTTCTTTCTTACAACATATAAAAATAACTATTTTACATTCTTGTTACATATTATTTTTAAATAATTAGTGTCCTCTATAAGGAAACCATACCTATATCACTATCAATAGTGAGATATGGTCAATTTAGAAAAGAAAAAAAAAATTGAACCTAGTTAAACTTAGAGAAAGTAAAAGTTTAAATGATATTCAATCATAAAAAATGCATGTATAACACTTGAAATGCATTATTCTTCTTCAATGATTACATGCTAGGTGGTAATCAAATTAAAGAGTTCACTGTGGGTCAAAATTGTAGCTTCCAGCACTTATCAATATTCTTGCCTCAAAACTAATTGCTACTACCTAAATAACAACCTAAATAACCTAAATAACAACCAATCAAGCTTCTAAACAAACTACCAATTACAATAACAATCTCAACATTTAATCTCTTTGGCCACAGATCAGTGTTCATCTCTTCTTCATAGAGATACATAAGCCTCTGCATTTGGGAAACAGCCAGAAATTGATTTCTTCTGCCCAGTACCATCAATAGGAAACACACTAATCAAACAGGTATTGCAATGAGCACCTACTAGGTTCTAGAAGCCTTCACTGGAATAATCTCATTTAATTGCTACAGTAATCCGGTAAGATAAGGTGGTAGCCAGTAAGCCCAACCAATAATTTTCACTTCCTAGTAGTACTTCCTTCCACAATGAATAGGGCTGACCCGTGTAAGCAGTAAAATACTGAAGAAATGATAGTAAGAATTCTGAGGCCAGATCATTCAAGACATTGTGGCTTCTACTCTCTTGGACTACTTGCTCTGGGAAATACCAGCTGCAATGTCATGAGAACATTTAGAAGTCCTATGGAAGGCCAGGTGCGGTGGCTCACACCTTTAATCTTAGCACTAGAGGCCAAGACGGGCGGATCACTTGAGGTCAGGAGTTTGAGACCAGCCTGGCAAATTTGATGAAACCCCATCTCTACTAAAAATACAAAAATTAGTCAGCCGTGGTGGTGGGTGCCTGTAATCCCAGTTACTCGGGAGGCTGAGGCAGGAAAATCACTTGAACCCAGGAGGTAGAGGTTGCAGTGAGCTGAGAACATGCTACTGCACTACAGCCTGGGTGACAGCATAAGACTCCATCTCAAAAAAAAAAAAAAAAAATCCTATGGAAAGGTCCACATGGTGAGGAAACTCATAAGCTCTCCTGCAAGCCAGGCACAACCTTGCCAGGCATGTGAGTGAACCACCTTGAAGTGATCCTCCCAGTCCTAGTCAAGGCTTCCCATGAATAGAGCCTAAGCCACCATCTTGACTGTACTTCATGAGATACCCTGAGCCAGAATCACACAGCTAAGTGACTCCTAAATTCCTGACCATAGAAACTGTGAGAGAATGAATGTTCATTGTTTTAAGTTTCACATAATTTGTTACACTTCAACAGATAACTAATACAGATTGATACTACAACTATTTTTATTTTACAGAAAAGCCCAGGAAGGTATCAGATATGCTAGGAACAGGAATATCTTTTTGTTGAACTGTTTTTTCTCTTTTTGTCATTATTTGGTCATTTCACCAAAACATTTAACCTATAATATCTCAGATTTTCCAGTCACCCATATAGAACATGTTTCTTCTAGCTTTGCTTGTTAAATAGATTAATGTTCCTAAACTTTTAGAAAAACTTTAAAATTGTTGACAGAAAATATATTATCGATTGTATAATTTGGAGCCTATTTTACCAATGATCATGTCTCAGCTTGTGTGCCAAGCATGTAATATGTCCAGAACTTATGTGTAAGTAAGTGAAAATCCCCTTTTTTCATAACTTGTCTTTGTAACTCAAGATGTAAGGTATATATATTATATGTATGAAAACATCACTATGTACCCCATGAAAAAATACGATTATTATTTGTCAATTTAAATAATCTTACATGTAACAAACCTGCACACATACCCTTTGAATCTAAAATAAAAGTTGAAATTACATATAAAATAAAAACAAAGAGAAATAAAAGACAACAGTTCTAGAGCTACAGGGGACCTAGATGAAGGCACCTATATGGTGAAGTTTTTATATACAGACTATAAGCATTTATGTCCAAAAGGCCAGAACAAATTTAAGAATTTTAACAAAGAAAAAGAAACTACAAAACAAAACCAGAGTTTCTGGACATACAAAAAAATAACTGATGTTAAAAAACTCAATGGATGAATCTAGAATTAGATTACCAGGCATGGTGGCTCCCATCTGTAATCACAGCACTTTGGGAGGCCAAGGCAGGTGGATCACTTGAGGCCAGGAGTTCGAGACTAGCCTGGACAACATGGCAAAACTCCGTCTCTACTATTAATAAAAATACAAAAATTAGCTGGGTGTAGTGGCGCATGCCTGTAATGCCAGCTACTCAGGTGGCTGAGGCAAGAGAATCGCTACTGTGTGTGTGGTGGAGGTTGCAGTGAGCTGAGATTGTGCCACTGCACTCCAGACTGGGAGACAGAGTGAGACTCTGTCCCAAAAAAAATAATAAAATTAGATTATACACAGCTGAGGAGAAAATTAGTGAACCAGAAGCAAAACTGGAATAAAACAATCAAAATGAATCATGTAGAGATAAAAGTATAAAATTACAGAATAGAGGGTAAGAGATACAGGAGATACAGTAAAGTCTAACTCTTAAGTCTCAGAAAGAGAACAAAAAGCTAATGAGGCAGAAAGAAGAAATTCCAAAGTTGTCCAGCAACTCTCTTTGAAATTATTTAAAATCAGCTAGCTTTAGCAGTACCTTCTCCAAAAATCAATGCTAGAAGAAAATAAAATAATAGAATTATCAGTCATGGCCTAAGAATTTTATAACCAGCCTAATTACCATTTGCCTAAATTCAGGAGCAAACTATGAATGTTATTCTCCTAAGTAAACTACTTTTTATTTTTTCTTTTTTTGATATGGAGTCTTGCTCTGTTGCTCAGGCTGGAGTGCAATGGCACGATCTCAGCTCACTGCAACCTCCGCCTCCCGGGTTCAAGCGATTCTTGTGCCTCAGCCTCCCAAGTAGCTGGGATTACAGGCACCCACCATCATGCCCAGCTTATTTTTGTATTTTTAGTAGAGACGGTGTTTCATCATGTTGACCAGGCTAGTCTCAAACTCCTGACCTCAGGTGATCTGCCCGCCTCAGCCTCCCAAAGTGCTGGGATTACAGGCATAAGCCACTGTGCCCGACCAACTACTTTTAACTAAAAGAAATCAGTCCCGCATTGCATGATAATTCTATTAATATGTTATACATTTTTAGTGATAAAAACTGTTCTAATACTTTTATTACGCCCTTCAGCATTTTTAAATAACTTTTCATACACTGTATATTTTTTGCTTTTAAGCTTGTAAATATGATGTTTATTAGCCTATAGAATCCAAAGCAAAAAGGATTCCAAAAAAATAAAAAAATAAAAATTTTTAAACACACACACAAAAAAAACAAGGCTGATGAGCACAGCAAAGAAAGTGTGATATAATTTATCTAAATGCCTTGTTTTATGTAATGGATAAAAAGCACTTACTATATGCCAGAGGTATTCTAAATGCTTTACATTAACCACTTAGTCCTCATAACCACCCCTTAGGTAGGCTCTATTATACCCATTTTACAGAGGTGCAGAGGTAAGGAAGGGTTGAGAAGCTTTCTCGGAGTTACACTGATAGCAGAGACATGATTGAACCCTGGCAGCCTGGCTTCTGAGCAGACTCAACCATGAGCCTAGATTGATGCTTATAATCTGTAATCTCTTTCATAAAGTGCGATGGGTGGTCAAAAGATAAGGTGCTTTGGAATTCTGCCACATTTGAGTTTTAAAAGTCAATTCTAACACTTCTATCTATACAGTATTACTACTCTACATCTGCTTTACAGACGAGAGTCTGTAAAATAGGGAGTAAAATAGGTTACATTCTTATATTTATGAATACTAAGTGAAAACATGAATTTAAAATCACCCTGTACAGTGCCCAACCCATAATCAGTATTTATGTTTTATCTTTTTCCCAAAGGCAGGTTTATATTAAAACCAATGAAACTTTAAGTTTCAGGGGTCTTCACTTTCATGACCCCTTCTAAATAGTGTACTTAATTTCATATTCATAACTTTCTATTCCTTTTCTTAAAGAGGGTCTCCAAATTATACAACCTTCAGACCCCATGAAACCTGGATCTACTCCTGCTCTTCCTGTTAATGATTTCCATACTAAAGCAACCCCACTGGATCCCAGGTTCTGAGTAAGAAGGAATAAGCACACTTCACTTTGTCTGTCCCATGAAAAGTAGCTATAAAACCTGGACAAGATGCATGTGGCAGCTAAAAGTAGAAGGGAATAGAGGAAGAACAACAAAATTTGAAGTACCATTTTCTCTATTCTTTCACATGCTGGGCCTCAAATATTTCTGTGGAGGTAGAAAGAAGGCACAAAAAACCAGGGTCCACAGAAAGAGAGCAAAAATTCTGAAAGTGGGAAACCTTCATCTCTGACTGACGGAATACTGATCCCAGGAGGGTAAGGCTAACCCCTGTTGTTTTTATCCTCTTTATCATCCCACTGCTTGTCCCCAGGTAGGGGCACAATCATGGAAACTGTACAGCAGATCACAGTAATTAAAGACTCCAGCTTCCTAACCAGAGAACCAAAAACAAAGCACTGCGTCGATGGCAGAGAGGGAGGAGCTCAGGGAAGTGATTCCTTCAAGTTATTTATGAACTCTTCATCTCACCCAAGCTACACAAGCATGGATCTGATCCTAAACAGCATAGGCAGACACTGAGTGCTGAACTACTGATCAGAGCACTGCCAAATTCCCAAACTGGCCATTGGGTGGCAAATAAGTGGGACAAATTCAAATAACACTGAAAAGACTTTGAAAACTGAACTGACATAGGAACCACAAGTCACAGAGGGCTGGATCAAACTTGAATCCTGAAATTAACTGAGTTGACTGACTACTAAAACGACAATCTCAATGTTTTCCACAGGATGTGTAAAAAAAGACCCAGAGTCTCATAACAATTAAAATGTCCAGAATAAAATTCAAAATCAATCAACACATGAATAAATTTAAAAATCTCAATTTGCACAGAAAAAAGACACTCAAGCAACAGATATCAACTCTAAAATGACACAGATGTTGAAACTACCTGATAAAGACATTAAAGAGGCTTTATAAAAATTCTCTAACAAGTAAAGGTAAATGCTGTTGAAAAGGATAGAAAGATAAAGGGCTTACAGGTGGGGTACAAAATGGCATAGCTGCTCTGAAAAAATCTGGATATTTCTTATATAAACACGCATGTACAGGATATGTATGCAATCCCACTCCTAGGTATTAACCCTGGATAAATCAAAAGTTACGCTAACATAAAAATCTGTACATGAATGTTTACACTGTATTTATTCACAATTACTATAAAGTAGAAACAACCCAAGGGGTAAATAAACTGCATATATATAGTTACATATAACGAACTACTGATAAGCACAGAAAGGAAATGAACTGTTGATATAAAGCAACAATGTGGATGAACCTCAAGCATTATGTTGAGTGAAAGAAGGCGATCTCAAAAGGTTGTATACCACGTGACACCGTTTATATGGCATGCCCCCAAAAGACAAAACTACAGTAATAAAGAAGAGAACAGGGGTTGCCAGGGGTTAGGGTTGGGAGGAAAGTATGACTACAAATGAAAAACATAAGAGAATTTTTTCAGGTGATGAAACTTTTCTAAATTTTAACAAAGAACTGTACACGAAATCTATACATGTTTTAAACTTCACAGAATGATACACACAAAAAGCCAGTATTACTGCTGGTAATCGAAAAATTAAAGTTTTTTTAGGCCCCATGTTTAAAAAAAGCAAACCTAGAAAAACAAATTACTGGTGTATCTATGAATAAGAGTATTTAAAGGGGATGAGCTGTATCAGTTCATTGATTGAAATAAATTTGGCCCGTGGCACTGAAGGCCAGTAGGATCAACCGAACTGCATCAGTGCTGAAAATGACTTACAAAGGTATAATCCTACCCAATATGCTTCCTGCTTTAACTGTATATACAAAACCAAGACCAAAATAGCACATGGAAAGAAAATCAAAGAACACTATGTCACTGCCTGTCACCAGGCAGCAACTCAGGTCTTCAAGCTGAACGATATCTAAATTACCTGAGATGACAAACTGTCTTTGAAAGACCCATTCCAATGTTAATAATTCTACCTAGAGTTCTAAGCTATATTCTTTATAATGTAATCTATGCAGCATTTTTATTTTCTCTGCTACATTAAAAAGCAGGTGAATAAATTCCACTTCCAGAAAAATGAAACATGTGCATATCCATGAGGTAGAATTTTAAATACTGGACATTATATATAAAACAATCATTAAGAAGACTGTGAAAGGCAGAAAAAGGGCAGAGAAGCTCGGGACTTTGGGGACCCAAGAAACAACACAGTGGTACGTTTCCTGGATTTTCCTTTCACTTCACATATCTGCAACTTCGAACTGAAGAAGCTGGCAATCCAAAAATGCCAACAGGGCACAGACAAAAAAGCCAGCTCCCCCCAAAAGTCAGCTTTCTCTAGCCAAAGGAGCAGGAAAGGAGCAGTATAGCAAGACAGAAAACTTTTAGACAGTAACTGCTCTATACAAGCCAATCATCACAGAAAAAAAACTGTGGCCCTTCACCAACCAATGCTGGCTATGGTTGAGGACTAAACCTAGACTTCTACCCTGGCCAGGTTATAAAGATGAGCCACAACCCCAATACTGAGGGGGTGGTAGAGAAGCAAAAGTAGTGACCTCCGATTTTCTCCCCCCACCCCCCCACACACACACTCCGCAGAAATCAATCATGTGGCGACACAGAATTTCCAACCCCCTATGCAGCAATAATGTCTCTCTCCTCTCCCTGTTTGGGTGGCATCAGAAGGGGCCTAGTGAAGTAGCAGGATTTTGACCACTGCCCAGTAGTAAAGAGGCCACCTCCCCCTTTCCCACCTCTACATCCATAGTATCAGTAAAGGCCATGTATAAAACAGTAATGAGTCATTCCTATCCCTTCCAGTTAGAGTGATATCAGCAGAAGCCTACTGGTGAAAGGTAGACTGTGCCCCTGCCCAGCAGGAATGAAAAACTCCTTTTTCCACTCAGGTGTCAATGGAGGACAGGTGAGAACCTAGACTTCTCATCTTGCAATAATAAGACAGCGCCATCCTCTTCATGCTGCTAAAGCAGTCTCAGAAGGCACCACTAAAACAAGAGGTTTAAGTAAAATCCACAGTCTCACAACATAATACCCAAAATATCTAGGTTTCAATGGAAAGTCACTTCTCATACCAAAGCCAAGAACATCTCAACTTGAATGAGGAAATACAATCAACAGACAACAAAACAAAGATGAAAGTGTTGTTAGATTATCTGACAAAGATTTTATAGCAGCCATCATAAAAATGTTTTAATAAGCAACCGTGCCTGAAACAAATGAAAACATAAAATGTCTCCCCAAAGAAACAGAAGATATATTAGTAGAACCAAATGGAAATTTTGGAACTAAAAGCCTCAATAACCAAAATAAAAAATTTAACAAATGGGCTCAACAGTAGAATGGAGGGGACAGAGGCAAAAAGATCAGTAAAGGAGAAAATAAAACAAAAGAAATTACCCAATCTGAGCCAAAGAAAGAAAATATATTGAAAAAAATAAACAGAGCCTCAGGGACCTATGAAACAGTAACAAAAGAACTAAAATCCATGTCACTGTAATCCAGAAAGGAGAGAAGAAAGAGAGCAGGGCTGAAAAAGTACTCAAATAATGGCTGAAAACTTCCCAACTGTGGCAAAGAAACATATATACCAAGACACAACATAGTCAAACTTCTGGAAATTAATCATCTCCCCTCCCTCTCAAATCTTGAAAACAATAAGAGAAAAAAGACACCTTACTTATATGGGAATAACATTCAAATGACAGATTCCTCATTAGAAACCACAGAGGTCAGAAGGAATGACACATTCTGCAGTGCTAAAAGAAAAGGACTGTCGATCCAGGATCCTATACCCAGTGAAAATACCCTTCAGCAATGGAAAGGGAATAAAGACACTCTCCAATGAAGAAAAACATGGATATTTTTCCCCAAAAGACTACCCTAAAAGAGCAGCTAAAAACATTCAATAAACGGAGAAGAAAAAGTGAAAGAAAAAACCTGATATTCATCAGAAAGGACAAAAAAAAAATGGTAAACAAAAATATGGGTAAATATAATAAGTTTTCCTTCTCTTGAATTTTACAGTTATGTTTGATGACTGAAACAAATTAGAATACTATCTGCTGTGGATCTAAATGTGTTAAAGAAAGCTTTTAAGACGATTATATTACCAATGGAGGAAGTAAAGAGACATAAAGGGGTTATGGGGTTATGCACCAATTAAAAGTCAGACTGGCAGTGGTTAAAAAAATGATCTAACTATATGCTATCTACAAGAAACTTACTTCAAATATAATGACATAGGTAGGCTGAAAGTAAAAGAAGAAAAACGGTATATCATGCAAATATTAATCAAAATAAAGTAGGAGTGCTATATTAATAGGAAAAAGTAGACTTCAGAGCAAAAAACAATGATCACAGACAGAAACACTGTATCATGATAAAAGTGCCATATCGCCAAGAAAATATACCAATCCTAAATGTGTATGCATAGATGGAGCTACAAAATATATAGAGTAAAAACTTATAGAACCGAAAGGAGAAACAGACAAATCCACAATATAGTAAGAAACACTGACACCTTTCTCTCAGCAATTGACAGAACAATTAGAAAATCAGAAAGGATATATAAGAACTCAACATCATCAACCTACAGGATCTAATTAACATTTACACAACATCTGACCCAACAGCAGAATACACATTCTTTTTCAGGTGCCCAGGGAACACAAACCAAAACAGACTACATGTTATGCTATAAAACACATTCTTCAACAAATTTTAAAAGAACTGAAGTCATACAGAGTGGCTCCCCTAGTCACAAGGGCATAAAATTAGAAATTATTAATAGTAACAGAAAGAAAACAGGAAAATACCCCAACACATGGAAACTAAACAACGTACTTATAGATAATCCATGGGTCAAAAGTTTCAAGGGGGAGAAAATAACATTGAAACAAGTGAACATGAAAATATAGCATATCAACATGAGTAGAACAGGAAACGCAATGCTCAAACGGGAACCTGTAGCACTAAATACTTTTTTTGAAACAGGACATCATGCACATCAATAATTTAAATTCTCACCTCAGGTACCTGAAGAAAAGTCAAAATAAACCTAACATAAGCAGAAATTAAGAAAAGAAGAAACAGCAGAAATCAGTAAAATTGAAAACAGAAAAACAATTTTGGTATTACTTTCGAACTAACACCAGACAAAGATGATGCCAAAAAAGAAGACACACACTAATATTCCTCATGAATACAGATACAAAAATCCCTAACAAAACATAAGCAAAAGGAATTCAGAAATATCTAAAAGAAATTATACAACGTAAATAGGGATTTATTTCAGGAATACAAGGATGAGTCCATATTCAAAAATCAAGGAATGTACTCCACCATATTAACAGGATAAAGAAGAAAAATGATATAATCATATTGATGTATAGAAATATTAGATATAATTCAACACCCATTCATGATAAAAAGAAAACTTAAATGAAGTTAGGAATCAAAGGAAACTTTAACTTGGTAAAAGAGCATCTAAAAATAACCTACAGCTAACACTACAAGAGAAAAATACTGAATATATTTTTCCTAAAATCAGGAACAAGAAGGGCCAGTCTCATTACTCTTATTCACATAGTGCTGGAAGTGCAAGCCAGTGCAATAAGTCAAGGAAAAAAAAAGGCATACAGACCTGAAAGAAGAAACAAAACGATCCCTATTTACAGATGACATGATAATCTATACAGAAAATCCCAAGGAATCTACAAAAACATCTTCTAAAATGAATGACTTTAGCAAAGTCAAAAGACACCAGTTAAATATTATATTTAATCAATTGTACTTTAACATATGAGCAATGAACATGTGGACATCAAAATTAAAATATTTTAACATGTAGACACTAAAATGAAGATTACAATAGCTGAAATAAAAAATAGTTAAACATGAATCCAACAAAACATGTCCAGGATACATATGCTGAAAACTGTAAAATGCTGATGGAAAAAAAATCAAGGGAGATCTCAGTAACTGAAGAGACATACAGTGTTCATGAATTAGAAAACTAAACATAGCGAAGATGGCAATTCTCTCCAAATTGATATACAGATTTGACACATCCTATAATCTTGTAGACACAGCAACACAGACAAGATTCTAAATTCTACATGGAAATGCAAAGGAACTAGAATAGCTAAAACAATTTGAAAAAAAAATGAATAAAGTGTGAGGAGTCAGTCTACCTGCTTTCAATACTTACATAGCTATGGTAATCAAGAATGTGTAGTATCAGTGGACGATCAGACACACAGACTAACGGAACAGCATAGAGAACCCATAAAGAAACCCACCAAATATGCCTGCCTTCTTTTTAACCCAGGTCCAAAAGCAATTCAATGGAGGAAGGATAGCCTTTTCACACAAACTGTGCTACAGCGAGTAGACTTACACAGGCAAAAAAAGGAACTTTGACCTGAGATCAACTCATACAAAAATTAACTTGAAATGGGTCATGGACTTAAATGTAAAATGCAAAACTATAAAATTTTAAGAAAAATAAATAAGATAAAATCTTAGAATCTAGAGCTAGTTAAATTTGAGTTATTGGACTTGACACCAGAAGCATGATCCATAAAAGGTAAAATTAGTAATCTGGACTTTGAAATTTGAAACATTTGCTTTTCTAAATACCCTAAGAAGATGATGAAAAGACAAGCTACAGATGAAGAAAATACATGCAAACCACATATATAACAAGGTGCTAGTTATCGATGATATATAAAGAACACTCAAAATTCAACAGTAAGAAAAACTCCAGTTAGAAAAGGGAGAAAATACATGAACAATTTACCAAAAGAGATATAGATGGCAAATAAATGCATGAAAAGATGTTCAATATTATTAGGCATCACAAAAATGCAAATTCAAACCACAATGAGATTGCCATATACCTACTGAAACAGCTTAAGTTGTTTAAAAAAACACACACACACAAAAAACGATAGCACCAAAAATGCTGTTGAGGATACAGAGAAACTGGATCATTCATATACTGCTGGTGGGAATGAAAACACAGCCATTCTGGAAAACCATTTGGAAGTTTCTTTAAAACAAAAACAAAAACAAAAACTGAATATGCACCTATTATAAGAATCTGGGTAAAGGGCACGTGGGATCTCTCTGTATTACAGGCTGAGTAACCCTTTTCCAAAATGTCCAAAATGCTTTAGATCAGAAGTGTTTCAGATTTTGAATTTTTTCATTTTGAAATATTTGCATTATACCATTTGAGCATACCGAATTCAAAAATCCAGAATCTGAAACGCTCCAGTGAGCATTTCCTTTGAGAATCATGTTGGCACTAAAAAAATTTTGAATCTCAGAGCATTTTGTACTTCAAATTTTCAGATCTGGGATGCTCAACCTGTATTTCTGATAACGACATGTGAATCCAAAATTATCTCAAAATAAAAAGTTTAGTTAAAAAAAATTTTAAACAACAACAACAACAGCAAAAAAAAAAAAAAAAAAAAAAAAAAAAAAAAAAAAAGCAGGTGAGTAGCGTGTGCTTCTCCTAGGTTCTCATTCCATGGGTGGGGACTGCCTCCTTTGAAGGGCCTCAGGCCAAGGTTACCAAATAGAGCTTTTACTAGCTCTACATTCCTCCTAATCTGGTCTTATTCATTCTGAAAGGCTTCAGTTAATATATGCCAATGATTGCCAAATTTGTATTTTAAGCCCGTACCACTCTTCTGAAGTCCAGGCATATTTTACTTTTAAATGAATATCTCAATCTAGGTATCTGAGAGGCATTTCAAGCTCGATCATTGAAACATAGTATTTTCCCCTACAGCTCCCAAATCTGCTTCCCTTGGATCTTTCCCTGTTTCAGTAGTTGTCACTTGCTATGGTCTGAATGTGTTCCTTCAAAATTGCCAGGTTGAAAACCTAGGCCCCAAGGTTATGGTTTTTGGAGTTGAACCTTTGAGGTAGTGATTAGATCGTGATGGTAGAGTACTCATGAATGGGATTAAGTGCCCTTATAAAAGAGGCCCCAGAGAGCAGCCTTGCTCTTTCTACAATGTAAGGACTCATCAAAAAAAATCCCATCTATGAACCAGACACCTTATATGCCCGGATCCTGGACTTCTGAGCCTCCAGAAGTATGAGAAATTAATTTCTGTTGTTTATAAGCTACCCAGTGTATGGTATTTTGTTCTAACAGCCTGAACGGACTTAGGACGTCAGTATTACCATCCAATGCACCCAGATGCTCAAGCTGGTGTCTGGTTTACTCATTCTTATTCTCATATATACTAGTAAATTATAAAACACCATTAACTCAAGTTCTTAAATACATGGTCAATGAGTCCACTTCTTCCCATCCTCAACACAGCCAGCTTGTTGAAACACCAATATACCAGTCTCCTAGCTGATTTCTGTAGCTCTACTTGTCCCCTCCTCAAAAGCATTCCTCCTGGCAAACAGACTGATCTTTACAAAATGCAAATCCAAACACCTCACTCCTTAGCTTAAAACTTTTCACTGCTACTACTGTGCTTATAGAAATCCTTATCAAAGCACACAAAATCCCACAAAGTCCGGTTTCCACCCACATCATGCCACTCTTCACATTCATTTCTAAACTCCAGCCATAATAAGATTTTTCTAGTTTCTCCAAGGTATTCTGATATTCTCCCTGCAGGGCCTTTGCACTTTCCTCCTACCACTCCCAGACCAATCTACCTAATATACAGTCAGTCTGCCAGATCTGGGGGTTTCACATCCACAGATTTAACCAACCATAGCCTGAATATATTAAAAATAAAAGATAACAATAAAAAATACAGTATAACAATGATTTACATGGCATTTACATTGTATTAAGTATCAGAAGTAATCTAGAATGATTTCAAGAATATAGGAGGACATGAGTATGTTATATGAAAATACTACACCATTTAATATCAGGGGCCTGAGGATCTTCAGATTTTCCTATCCACAGGGGTCCTAGAATCTTCACAGAGAAGAAGGAAGAACTATATTCTATTTATATACATAAGTCACATGTATATTTAGGTTAACTTGGGCCTAACTGGATAGTCACTTGACATCCATTTTTTTTGGGGGGGTGGGGGTGAAGCTTTCTAAATATGAAGTACAATAATAATAATTCTAGTAACAGCCTTTGTCATTCACAGTTAAACTATAACTGTTACTTCTTATGAATACTGGTTGCTAAAGTATTCATATATATACAAAATTTTTAGAGGTTTTTAAGTTCACTGTTTAAAAATTAACACATGGGCAGGGCACGGTGGCTCACGCCTATAATCCCAGCACTTTGGGAGGCCGAGGCAGGCGGACCATGATGTCAAGAGATCAAGACCATCCTGGCCAAAAGGGGGAAACCCCGTCTCAACTAAAAATACAAAAATTAGCTGGTCGTGGTGGTGTGTGCCTGTAGTCCCAGCTAGTCAGGAAGCTGAGGCAAGAGAATCGCTTGAACCCAGGAGGCGGAGGTTCCAGTGAGCCGAGATTGCGCCACTGCACTCCAGCCTGGTGACAGAGAGAGACTCCATCTCAAAAAAAAAAAAAAAAAAAAAAAAAAAAACCATGGTATGTTGACCCTGAATTTCAGCTATACAGCATTCTTTCTAAAGTTTATTGAGCTCCACTCAGTCTCTTAACAGTAATAATAAAAACAACAAGGGAAAAAATAGGAAAATGACTGTTGCAATGTGCCGTGTACAAAATAATTTGTTGGAAGCTTTAGAAGATAGGTCTATAAGCAATCTCTGAATAATAATTTTGAGAGGTTAGGGTTTTAAATCTTTACATTTTAAAATTCTACAACAAAAAGCATATGTATTGAATCTATTCCCCAATGTGATGGATGGGTTTTTTCCCCTGATATCCTATCTCTGTTTTCAAATTAATATGAATACTTTGTAAGTACCACTCAAGAATTAACTAATTCTACTAGTAATTATACTTTATCTATTTGTCATACGTTACAGTTTTCAACTGTACAATTCTGTATAGTTCACACATACATACATGGTTCATCATGGTTGTGTATATATTCAAATTTTATTTCCTATTAAAAACATCTGATTAAAAGCATCATTATGAGAAATCAAAATAATAAAAGGATAACAGGAATGTATTTTAGGATACGAGATAAAAGAAATAGCCAAAATTAACCGGTCGTGGTGGCGGGCGCCTGTAGTCCCAGCTACTCAGGAGGCTGAGGCAGGAGAATGGCGTGAACCCGGGAGGCAGAGCTTGTAGTGAGCCGAGATGCGCCACTGCACTCCAGCCTGGGCGACAGAGCGAGACTCCATCTCAAAAAAAAAAAAAAAATAGCCTTCCATTTCTGACCTACCCTGGGCCAGAGGGGAGCCCAGTGCCCTACAGACTAAGACCCAGGCTTGGCAACATTCACCACAAGCTGACTAAAGAGCGCTTGAGGCTTTAAGTGAACATCAGCAGTACCCTGGCAGTACTCTCCATGGGTCTGTGGTGGTGGTTGTGGACACTGAGAGACTCCTCTGCCTGGGGAAAGGGGAGGGAAGAGTGAGAAGGACTTTGTCTTGTGGTTTCAGTGCCAGCTTAGCTGCAGTAAAATAGAGCACCATGTATACCTCTCAGGTTTCTGACTCCAGGCTCTGGTTCCCAGACAGCATCTCTGGACCCACCCAGGGCCTGGGGGAATTTGCCACCCTGAACAGAAGGACACAAGACTGCCTGCCTTGACTATCTGCTGACTGTGGAGCCCTAGGGCCTTGAGCAAACATAGGCAGTAGACAAGTAGTGGTTACAGCAGGCCTCGGCAAGACCCAGTGCTGTGCTGGCTTCAGGTCTGACCTAGAACAGTTCCGGTGGTGTTGGCCACAGGGGTGCTTGTGTCAGCCATCCCCCAGCTCTAGACAGCTCAGCATAGACAAAGAGATTCCACTTGTTTGGGGGAAAGTAAGGAAAGAGAACAACAGTCTCTGCCTGCTAACCCAGAGAATTCTTTCGGATCTTATCCGAGATCACCAAGGTAGTACCTCTACAAATCTGCAAGAACCACAGCATTGCTAAGCTTGAGGTGCCCCCTAATACAGATACAACTACAGTGACAAAAAAATGGATCACAACACCCATGACCCTTCTAATACCTGGAAAGCCTTCTTAATGAGGACAGGTACAAACAAACCTGGACTGCAAAGACAACAGTAAATACCCAACTTTTCAATGCCCAAACACCAATGAACATCCACAAACATCAAGACCATCCAGGAAAACATGACATCATCAAACAAACTAAGGCACCAGGGGCCAAGCACGGAGAGACAGAACCATGTGACCACAGAGCTATGTGACCTTTCAGACAGAATTCAAAATATCTGTTTTGAGGAAACTCAAAGAAATTCAAAATAACAGAGAAGAAATTCAGAATCCTATCAGATAAATTTAATAAAGAGATTGAAATAATTAAAAAGAATCAAACAAAAATCTGGAATTGAAAAATGCAACTCACCAACTAAAGAATGCATCAGAGTCTCTAAATAGTAGAACTGATCAAGCAGAAGAATTAGTGAGAATGAAGACAAGCTCTCTGAAAATACACAATCAGAGGAGACAAAAAGAAAAAAAGAATAAAGCATGCTGGCAAGATCTGGAAAACCTCAAAGGGGAAAATCTAGGAGTTACTGCACTTAAAGAGGAGGTAGAAAGAGAGGGGTAGAAAGTTTATTCCAGGGATTTATAACAGAGAACTTCCTAACCTAGAGAAAGATATCAAAATCCAAGTACAAGAAAGTTACATAACACCAAGCAGATTTAACCAAAAAAGACTACCTCAAGGCATTTAATATTCAAACTCTCAAAGGTCAAGGGTAAAGAAAGGATCCTAAAAACATCAAGAGGAAAGAAACAAATAACCTGCAATGGAGCTCCAATATGTCTGGGAGCAGTCTTTTCAGTGGAAACCTCACAAGCCAGGAGAGAGTGGCATGACATATTTAAAGGGCTTAAGACAAAAAACTTTTACACTAGAATAGTATATCTGGTGAAAATAATCCTTCAATCATAAAGGAGAAATAAAGACTTCCCCAGACAAACAAAAGCTGAGGAATTTCAACACCAGATCTGTCCTACAAGGAAAGCTACAGGAAGTTCTTCAATCTGAAAGAAAAAGACATTATGAGCAAGAAGAAATCATTTGAAGGAATAAAACTCATGGTTGATAGTACACAGAAAAACACAGACTATTATAATACCGTAATTGTGGTGCATAAAGACACTGATCTTAAGTAGAAAGACAAAACGATAAAGTGATGAAAAATACAACAACTTTTCAAGACATGCATCGTACAATAAGATATAAATACAAAAAGCAAAATGTTAAAAAGTGGGGATATGAAATTAAAGCATACAGTTTTTAATAGTTCTCATTTTGCTTATTTGTTTAGGCAAGCAGTGTTAAGTTATCAGTTTAAAATAATAGGTTCTAACTCATGGTAACCTCAAATCTAAAAACATACAACAGATGAACAAAAAATAAAAAACAATAAATTCAAACATACCACCAGTGAAAATCACCTTCACTAAAAGGAAGACGAAAAGTAAGGGAAAAAAGAAAAGAGGACCACAAAACCAGAAAACAAATAACAAAATGGCAGGAGTAAGTCCTAACTTATCAATAATAACATGTGATGTAAATGGACTAAACTCTCCCATCAAAAGACATAGTGATTAAATGCTTAAAAAAAAAAAACACCCAATGATCTGTTGCCTATAAGAAATATACTTCACATATAAAGACACATGAAGGGTGAAAATAAAGCCAGGGGGGTGGGGAAAGACAATCCATGCAAGTAGAAACCAAAGAAAAGGAGCAGGAGTGGCTATACCTATATCAGACAAAATAGTATTCAAGACCAAAACTAGAAGAAGAGACAAAGAAGATCACTATATAATGATAAAAGAGTTAATTCAACAGGAGAATCTAATAATTGTAAATACATATGCACCCAACACTGGAACACCCAGATACATAAATAAAATATTATTAGAGCTAAAGAGAAAGAGAGAGAGACCCCAATAAGAGCTGCAGACTTCAACACCCCACTTTCAGCACTGGACAGAAAATTAACAAAGAAACATTGGATTTAATCTATGCTACAGATCAAATGAACCTAATGGATATACACAGAACACTTCATCCAATAGCTGCAAAATACACATTCTTCTCCTTAGCACATGGATCATTCTAAAAAATAAACCATATCTTAGGCCAAAAAACAAATCTTAAAACTTTCAAAATAATAGTAAGCATTTTCTCTGACCACAAAATAGAATAAAACTAGAAATCAATAATAAAAGAAACTTAAACACATGGAAATTAAACAATATCTTCTTGAATGACAAGTGGGTCAAGGAAGAAATTAAGAAGGAAATTGAAAAATTTCTTGAAACAAATGATAATGGAAACATATACAAACAAACATACCAAAACCTATGGGATGCAAGCAAAAGCAGTACTAAGAGGGAATTTTATAGCTATAAGTGCCTACAATCAAAAGAAGAACAACTTCAAATAAACTATATGTTGATGCATCTTAAAGGATCAGAAAAGTAAGGGCAAACCAAACCTAAAGTAGAAGGAAAGAAATAAAGATCAGAGTAGAAATAAATGAAATTGAAATAAAGAAAACAATACAAAATATCAACAAATGAAAAGCTGGTTTTTTTGAAAAGATAAATAAATTGACAAACCTTAGCCAGGCTAAGAAAAAAAGAGAATAATCAAATAAATAAAATAAGAGATGAAAAGGACATTACAACCAACACCGCAGAAATTCAAAGAATCACTAGAGGCAACTGTGACCAACTACAAAACAATAAATTGGAAAAGTAGAAAAAATGGATAATTTCCTAGACACACAGACACATACAACTTACCAATATTGAATGATAAAGAAATTCCAAACCTGAAGAGACCAATAACAAGTAATGAGATCAAAGCCATAATAAAGTCTTCTAGCAAAGAAAAGCCTGGGACCTGATGGTTTCACTGCTGAATTCTACCAAATATACTAATACTAATCCTACTCAGACTATTCCAGAAAATAGAGGAGATGGGGAATACTTCTAAACTCATTCTTCAAGGCCAGTATTACCCTGATACCAAAACCAAATAAAGACACATCAAAAAAAGAAAAGTATAGGCCAGTATCCCTAAGGAACCCAGATGCAAAACTCCTCAACAAAATACTAACAAACTTAATTCAATAACACATTAAGAAAATCATTCATCATAATCAAGTGTGATTTACCCCAGGGATGCAAGGATGGCTCAACATATGCAAATCAATCAGTGTGATACATCATAGCAACAGGATGAAAAAACTAAAAGCCTTTCCTCTAAGATCTGGAACAAGACAAGGACACCTACTTTCACCACCGTTAAGAGTACTGGAAGTCCTAGCTAGAGCAATCAGACAAGTTTCTTAGGCAATAAAGGGCATCCAAATTGGAAAGGAAGAAGTCAAGTCATCCTTGTTTGCAGATGATATGATCATATATTTTGAAAAACCTAAAGATTCCCCCAAAAACTATTAGAACTTATAAACAGATTCAGTAAATTTGCAGGATACAAGATCAGTGTACTAAAATCAGTAGCATTTCTATATGCGAACAATCTGAAAAAGAAGTCAAAAAAGTAATCCAATTTATAATAGCTATGAATAAAATTAAACACACAGGAATTAATTTAACCAAAGAAGTGAAAGATCTCTACAATGAAAACTATTTAACATTGGTAAAAGAAATCAAAAAGGACACAAGAAAATGAAAAGATACTCCATGTTCAAAGATTGTAAGAATCGGTATTATTAAAATGTCCATACTACCCAAGCAATCTACGGATTGAATATAATCCCTCTCAAAATAGCAATGACATTCTTCACAGAAATAGAAAAAAAATTCCTAAAATTTATACACAACCACAAAAGACCCAGACTAGCCAAACTCATCCTAAGCAAAAAAGAACAAAACTGGAGGAATCACCTTAACTGACTTCAAAGTATACTACTGGGCTATAGCAACCAAACAGCATGGAGCTGGCATAACAAACACATAGACATAGAACAGAATAGAGAACCCAGAAACAAATCCATACATCTATGGTGAACTCATTTTTGACAAAGGTACCAAGAACATACACTGGGGAAAGGACAGTCTCTTCAATAAATGATCCTGGGAAACCGATATCCATATGCAGAAGAATGAGACTAGACTCCTATATCTCACCATATACAAAAATAAAATCAAAATGGATAAATGGATTAAAGACTTAAATCGAAGACCTCAAACTATGAAACTACTAAAAGAAAAAAATTGGAGAAACTTGCCAGGACTTTGGAGTGGGCAAAGATTTCCTGAGTAATACCCCACAAGCGCAGGCAACCAAAGAGAAAACGGACAGATGGGATCATATCAAGTCAAAAAGTTTCTTGCAAAACAAAGGAAACAATCAGCAAAGTGAAGAGACAACCCACAGAATGAGAGAAAATATTTGCAAACTATCCATCTGACAAGGGATTTATAAACAGAATATATAAGGAGCTCAAACAACTCTTAAGGAAAAAATAATCAAATAATCTAATTTTAAAATGGCCAAAAGATCTGACTAGACATCTCTCAAAAGAAGACATACAAACAGCAACAGGTATATAAAAAGGTACACAATATCACTCATTATCAGAGAAATGGAAATAAAATTACAGTGAGGTATTATCTCACCCCAGTTAAAATGGCTTTTATCCAAGACAGGCAACAGCAAATGCTGGCAAGGATACGGAGAAAAGGAAACCCTTGCACGCTGCAGGTGGGAATGTAAATCAGTACAACCACTATGGAGAACGGTTGGGAGGTTCCTCAGAAAACTAAAAATAGAGCTACCACATAATCTAGCAATCCCACTGCTAGATATATACTACCTAAAAGAAAGCAAATCAATATGTCAAATAGACACATGCACTCCCATGTTTACTGCAGCACTACTCACAATAGCCAAGATTTGGAAGCAACCTAAGTGTCCATCAACAGATGAATGAACAAAGAAAATGTGGTACACACACACAATGGAATACTATTCAGTCTTAAAAAAGAATAAGATCTTGACCAGGCACAGTGGCTCACACCTGTAATCCCAGCACTTTGGGAGGCCGAGGCGGGTGGATCACCTGAGGTCAGGAGCCAACACGGTGAAACCCTGTCTCTACCAAAAATATAAATATTAGCTAGGCATGGAGGTGGGCACCTGTAATCCCAGCTACTCGGGAGGCTGAGGCAGGAGAATTGCCTGAACCCAGGAGATGGAGGTTGCAGTGAGCCGACACAGTGCTGTTGCACTCCAGCCTGCGTGACAGAGTGAGACTCCATCTCAAAAAAAAAAGAATAAGATCTTGTTATTTGCAACAAAATGGATGAAACTGGAGGTCATTAAGTTAATAAGCCAGGCAGAGAAAGACAAACATCATATGTTTTCACTAATCTTGGGAAGCTAAAAATTAAGACAACTGAACCATTGGAGATAGAGAGTAGAATGATGGTTACCAGAGAGTGGGGGGAAGTGGGGATGGTTAATGGGTATAAAAAAGTCGTTATAAGGAATAAGATCTAGTAGTTGATAGCACAGAATGGTGACTATAGTCAATAATTTAATCATACATTTAAAAATAACTAAAAGAGTATAATCGGATTGTTTGTAACACAAAGGATAAAGACTTGAGGTGATGGATACCCCATTTACCCTGATGTGATTATTATACATTGTGTGCCTGTATCAAAATATCCCACATACTCCATAAATATATATATCTACAAGGTACCCACAAAAATTCAAAATAAAAACTTTTTAAAAAGAGAGAAATAGCCATGTAAAAATATAACCAATATTAATTGAGTAATATAAAATATTCTACAAAATAGGAAACAGACATTTGGAAATACTGGGGTAGAGAAACCAAGGATGTTTCAAAAGTGTCGCATCACATGGTATTATTATGATATGATGCCAGCCTCAGGTTAATAAAACCAGGGGCTTCCAAACTATGAAGGAACACAATCAACCTGTATTAACCAAACGGCTGAAGGAATAGCCCAGTCTGATTGACTAAATGTACTTCTGAAGCCTTTTTGTTTCAAACATCTGCTATTGCAAACCATTTTAAAATATATTAGAGTATACTTCCTTGCTTTAGTAACTACAATATAGTGAACATAATTAAATCTCCCACTGCTGACCGTGGGTCTTACCATATATTAGGATAAGCATTGTTGTGAACATTATTTCTCACTGGACCCAAACAAAGATGTGAACATTTGGGTTAGATACATATACAAACTGACCCTAGGCTATTCATTCTTTGGAAACTCCTCTTTTTTTAACTACAACTATTTAAAATCAATTTTTAAAGGGGAGAAAAAGAGCTTATTTTCCTAAAAGTCAAGAGCAGGAAAAATAAACCTGGTTATCTGAACTTTTACTATATCATTGGAGCTTTTCGAAAGTAATAGGTATTCTTGAAAAATCTGTTCCATTTTCAACAGTTAAGGCAATGAGTATCCAACAGCAAAGCTTGGGGACAAGAAAGGTAAAATCCAAAAAGCTTGGGGACAAGAAAATAGTACTGAAGAAAGCTGCTCAGCATCCAGGTAATTATTAAGCATGTCTTACATACTAGTATGTCTTATGTACTAAGTACCCTGGCTAAGCACTATGTCTACAGCAAGCCTTCACTTCCTGTGCTTCCATTTCTTCATCTGCAAAATGAGGAGATGGGACATACATGCCTGTCCCTTTATATGCAAAAGTTCTCATACTGTGATTTATTAAGAACAAAACGATATTACTCTACCATCAACTGTGTGTGTGTTTGGGTGGTGAGAGGGTGGTAGGAGAAGGAAGGGATATCTAACTCTCCAAGGAAAGTAAAAATTTGGATGCCCAAATTCCTAAGAAAACTATTCTCTGCAGTAACCTTAGGAATGTTGACTTTAGTTATTTTACTCCTCTTTTTATTGCTTTGGGCAGAACACTGAGTGAATAACAAATCCATGACTGGGCTATATGTTAAAATGCTGTGGGGTTTAATATTAAATCCCCCCCCCAAAAAAAAAAATAGAAAGTGAAGAATCCATGGAAGCTTTTGTTTCCTTTTAGTTTTCTTTGAAGTCTTATCCTAAATGACAAATTGCATCAGCTACTGTGGTTTGATACAAAGAGTAATGAAGTGGGGACCAGCAGAGTTAGATTGGGGTTCTAGGCTTGACAGTAGTGAACTGTACACAAATCACCTGCTCATTTGCAAAATATTTCCTTCTGTTGTTAATCAAGAATGTTATGATAGATACAACACATTTCCTTTTAAAATAAAGGTGTTATGCCAATAGGTCAGGAGAATGCAATGGTTATCATGTATTTTGATTGTGAAAAGGCATCTCACCGAGTACTGAATACAAACATTAAAATAAGCTACGCAGTCAAGTAAATTCTTAACTCTGAACAGTGAGTTTTGAGTAATGAATCAAAAGGCACACTGTAAAGATGAACTGAAATAAGAATATATTTAACTGTGGCTCCAAACGAAGGGCCTAGATCATTCTTTAAAATTGCTGCTGTATACATGTAATAAATTTCTGGCATTCAGTTTGGATGTATTATCTCCCTGTGTGGAATAACTTATCCACTGGGTTTTCCTCTTATGTTTCAAAAGGAAAAATGTAAATTCTGGCAATAAAGTTGGGGCGGGGGTGGGAAAGCCATGTAAGCATGGGGAAGGAGAGGCCTGATTTAAGTAGTTTATGTACTTGAAAAAGAACTAAGGGCTTGAGCTGACTTTGAGCTCCACATGAGTCAACAGTGTGACATGACTGCCAAAAAAACTAATGTAATCTTGGCCACCAATAACAGAAGTGTCATGTACAGAACCATGGAGTTACAGCTTTACTGTATTCTCTGCATCCTCTGCTGGGCCCCAGACATCTAGAATGATAGGCTCAGTCCCAAAAGTACCCTATTTAAGAGTAATAGTGACAAACAAGAGCAATTCCAGGAAGGGGAGTGACCAGAATACCGAAGAACCTAGAAAATAAGTCCTGAAGACTGCAGGAACTAGGACTATTTAGGCTGGAAAAGCTAAGTCTTGGAGGAGAAATGATATTAAATATGTCATGAGCTGCTCTGTGACAGAAGAGTTCCGACCTAAGAGGACACATACCAAAGCAGATACAAACAGTACCCAAAACGGAACAGGCTGCTATAGCACTAGGAATGTTCAGGCAATGCAACTGTCAAGTCTGACTACACATCAGAAACACCTGGGAATAGTTTTAAAACTATCAATGCCCAGGCCCCATCCCCAAGCAATTAAATTAAAATCTCTCGGGAAAGGCCCGGGCAATGGGAGGAATTAAAAACTTCCCTGGGGGTTCCAATACGCAGCTACACTTGAGAATGACCACGGTAAAGACAGGCAATCCTTGGAGATACTATGGGTTCAGTTCCAGACCACCACAATAAAGCCAGTATCACAAGAAGGCAAGTCTCACCAACTTTTTGGTTTCCCAGTGCATACAAAAATTAGGTTTACACGATACTGTACTATATTAAGCAAGCAAATAACATTATTTCTAAAAAAAAAAGTACACACTAAATTTTAAAATATCTTATATTTTAAAAACGCTAGTGATCATCAGTGAGTCATACCCTTTGCTGCTGAGGGGTCTTGCCTCCATGTTGATGGCTGCCGACAGATCAAGGTGGTGGTTGCTGAATGTCAGGATGGCTGTAGCAATTTCTTAAAATAAGATGACAAGGAGGCCGGGTACGGTGGCTCACATCTGTGATCCCAGCACCTTGGAAGGCCGAGGCTGGTGGATCACATGGTCAGGAGATCGAGACCATCCTGGTCAACATGGTGAAACCCCCATCTCTACTAAAAATACAAAAACTAGCCAGGCATGGTGGCATGCACCTGTAATCCCAGCTACTCAGGAGGCTGAGGCAGGAGAATCACTTGAACCTGGGATGCAGAGGTTGCAGTGAGCTGAGATCCCACCACTGCACTCCAGCCTGGGCGACAGAGCGAGACTCCGTCTCAAAAAAATAAATAAATAAAAAATAAGATGACAAGAAAGTTTAATGCATTGACTCTTCCTTTCACAAAAGATGGATCTGTACCAGGAGATGTGGTTTGATAGCATTTTACACACTTTTTTCAAAACTGGAATCAGGCTGGGCACAGTGGCTCACGCCTGTAATCCCAGCACTTTGGGAGGCCGAGGCAGGTGGATCACAATGTCAAGAGATCGAGACCATCCTGGCCAACAGGGTGAAACCCCGTCTCTACTAAAAACAAAAAAAAATTAGCCAGGCATGGTGGCGGGAGCCTATAGTCCCAGCTACTTGGGAGGCTGAGGCAGGAGAATGGCGTGAACCTGGGAGGTGGAGCTTGCAGTGAGCTGAGATTGTGCCACTGCACTCCAGCCTGAATGACAGAACGAGACTCCGTCTCAAAACAAAACAAAACAAAACAAAACAAAACAAAAAAACACTGGAATCAATCCTCTTAAACCCCACCACTGCTTTGTCAACTAAGTTTATATAATGGTCTAAATCTTTTGTTGTCATTTCAACAATGTTCACAGCATCTTTATTAGAAGTAGATTCCATTTGAAAAACCAGTTTCTTTGCTCATCCACAAGAAGCAACTCCTCCTCATCGGTTCAAGTATCCATTGTAAGACTACAGCAATTCAGTCATATCTTCAGTCTCCACTTCTAATTTCAGTTTTCCTGCTATTTCTACCACTTCTACAGTTATCCTTTCCACTGATGGCTTGAATCCCTCAATGTCATCCATGAGGGGTAGAAGCAACTTCTTCCAAACTCCTGTTAATGTTGATATTTTCACCTCCTCCCAATGAATCACCAATATATATTTTTTGAGACAAGGTCTCACTATGTTGCCCAGGCTGATGATCTCAAACTCCTGGGCTCAAGTGATCCTCCTGCCTTGGCCTCCCAAGTGCTGAGATTATAGGTGTGAGCCACCATGTCTGGCCAAATCACCAATATTCTTAATGGCATCTAGAATGGTGAATCTTTCCAGAAGGTTTTCAATGACTATGCCCAGATCCATCAGAGCAATCACTATAATCACTATTTATAGCAGCTGTAGCCTTAGGAAATGTATTTCTTAAATAATAAGACTTTGAAGTCAAAATTACTCCAGATCCATGGGCTACAGAATGAATGCTGTGTTAGCAGCATGAAAACAACATTAATCTCCTTGTACACCTCCATCAGAGCTCTTGTGTGACTAGGTACATAGTCAATGAGCAGAAACATTTTGAAAGGAAACATTTTTTCCGAGCAGCAGGTCTCAACAGTGGGCTTGAAATATTCAATAAACCCTGCTGTAAACAAATGTACTGTCATCCATGCTTGGTTGTTGCATTGATAGAGCACAGTCAGAACAGATTTAGCAGAATCCTTAAGAGTCCTGATATTTTTGGAATGGTAAATGAGCAATGGCTTTATCTTATAAAATCACCAGCTGCATTAGCACCTAAAAAGAGTCAGCCTGTCCTTTGAAGCTCTTTGAAGCTAGGCATTGACTTCTCTCTAGCTGTGAAAATCCTAGATAGCACCTTCCTCCAACTGAAGGCTATTTTGTCCACATTGAAAATATGTTGTTTAGTGTAGCTGCCTTCATCAATAGTCTTATCTAGATCTTCTGGATAACTTGCTGTAGCTTCTCCATCAGCACTTGCTGCTTCCTCTTGCACTTTTATGTTATAGAGACAGCTTCTTTCCTTAAACCTCATGAACCAACCTCTGTTAGCTTCAAACTTTTCTTCTGCAGCTTTTTCATCTCTCTCAGCCTTCAGAGGATTGAAGAGAGTTAGGGCCTTGCTCTGGATTAGTCTTTGGCTTAAGGGAGTGTTGTGGCTGGTTTGATCTATCCAGACCAAACTTTCTCCGTATCAACAACAAAGTTGTTTTGCTTTCTTATCATTGTGTGTTCACTGAAGTAGTACTTTTAATTTTCTTCAAGAACTTTTCCTTTGCATTCACAACTTGGTTAGCTGCTAGTGTAAGAGGCCTACCATTTCACCTCTCTCACCTTTTGACATGCCTTCCTCAATAAGCTTAATCATTTCTAGCTTTTCATTTAAAGTGGGAAACATGAGACCCTTTCACTTCAACACTTAAAAGCCACTACAGGGTAATTAATTGGCCTAATTTCAATATTGTTGTGTTGGAGACAATCGGGAGGCCTGAGGGAGAAAGATGGGAACGGCCAGTGGGTGGAGCAATCAGAACACACAACTTTTACCAATTAAGTTTGCAGTTGTGTATGGGTGCAGTTCGTGGTGCCCCAAAACAATTACAATAGTAACAACAAAGAGCACTCCTCACAGATCACCATAGCAGATATGATAATAATGAAAATATTTGAAATGTTACAAGAATGACCAAATTGTAACACAGAAACAGGAAGTGAGGGCATACTGCTGGCAAAGTGGTGCTGATAGACTTGCTTGAGGCAGAGTTGCCACAGATCTTCAATTTGTAAAAAATACAGTATCTGTGATGTGCAATAAAGTGAAGCACAGTAAAGCAAGGTACACATGGACAGTCAGGATGGCCACCTGTCTCTCTGTGGTGTAGAGGTGAGTCCTCCTCAGAGGCCTGTATTAGGTTTACTTCCCAGATTCCGTCTTCTCTAGAACTTTTAATATTTTTAACTTGTTAGGCCCAACATTATCCTCTATGATCATGAAGATTAACTCCTGTTTACAAATATTTGAGAAGAAACGAAATTTAAATGGCGCACTCTCAAGAATTTGTAATAGCTTGGGTTATAACAGCCAGTGTATTCTATTCATGAATAAAAGGTTTCAAAGATTTAAGCACTACTGTCTTTGTGGAAAAGAACAGTGCCAGCACCTTTGTATGTAAATTAACTTAAACAATTTAATTTCCCAAGTTTTGTAAAATAAATTTAAAACATACTAACATTCAAATGTTCTCCAGTATCTTCCATGATAAAATAATTCAAATCAAGCAGAAACTACTTTGTAGCTTGAATGGTCTCTACCACTAGTAGCTCATCTAACGCACATGATAAAATGTTATATATTTTCCTACTTCAAACATTTCTAAAACTTTCTATAACAGAACAATGTGGCTTCTTAGTAACCAATATACAGTTCTCCATGCTTCCTTAGGTATTGGTTATAGTCTTGTTCTTAATACTTTTCTCTGACTACTGAATAAAAACATGTATAAAGATTTCTTAATTTCCTTTGAAAATATACATGCATGTGTGTTCAAAAGGCTTCTGGCCTTAATATAGGTCAGGCATCAATGGTTTTAGGCTATGCTTCTAAATTTTAGTGGCTCCTCCAGATTTTTCCACTTAAATGTAACACACCCTCTAAAAACTTTAAAACTTTCACTTTAGTTTACAATAAATCATCACCCATTTCCTTTTACTTTTGCCATCTGTCAGTGCAAAAAGCTCCTCATGAATCTGAAGCTTCTAGGCTACTTGGAGTCTCTCATTAATCTTTGTCATGTGGTTCATAAATAATGAGAGACGTATTAAAAATCATCATCTTGTTTACAGACAACCGCCACCAAAAGAGCCTGGAATAACACTGTGGATTTGACTAGACGTTTTCAGCCTGAACCAGCATTTCAGGAGTCCTGATGTGGGGACGAAGCACATATTTAACCTTTTTTACCATTAAGCTGGTTAACTGTACTACGTTTCAAGTAAGGATTACCCTTTCCATATCAAAACACTAGATAGAATTACGACCTTACAGCCATCTAAGCAGCTGCTGGACGGGCAGTTTGTTCCACAGCCAACACCTTTCCATTTTTCAAGCACATACCTCTCACAGAAATGTTTTCAGTGCGGCAGTCTACAGAGCTGGTTATAACACCGGCACGATGTGACAACAAAATTCAAGATGATTTTGCTCTTTCAGCCTGCCCCCACTTTTTTTTTAAAAAAAATTGTTTCCTCCTCCTTCATCCCCCAAAGGAAACCAAACCAACAATACTTCCACAAAACCAGCCTCAGACTTATGAATATAATTCTTTCAGTGAAAGCAGACCAGCTTTATAGGGGAACAGCTTTCATGAGAAGCAGGAAGCTGATCTGAGCAGCAGAGAGCAGGGATGGGGCGGAGCAGAAAGGAACTCAGCTGGGGGAGAGAGCGAAGCACAGACAGTACTGGCTGCTTCTAGTTACTTATTGACAGTTTCATCTAATAGCAAGGATTTATAAACAGCGTGAACATCCATCCTGCCATACCTTTCCTTCCTTGTATGAATCTCTGTCAATCTGGTAAACTATTACACAGGGGAAAGTAAGGCCTTACAGCCCCGCCAGAGCCCAGTTGCAGGGAAATGATGTAAGCTTCCCACCTCCCACCAGCCCCCGCTCTGCCAATCCACCTCTACTCTGACCTGTTAATATCCCCTTCCTCCCCCAGGGTCACTGCCTGGGGCCAGAGGGCCCCAGGCTTGCCTAGCTGGGTCCTATTGTGGGGCAGAAAGTGTCTGCCAGCGGGTAAGAAGCATTTTTGTTTTGAGAAAGTCTTCAATGAGAGAGTAAATGCCTTTCCATTTAAAAAATAATGCTGCATCACTAAAAGCTAATCAGTCCTCAAGAGAAATAGTATTAAATAGGATTGAGGTGAGGAATGCAATCTGCCAAAAGGCAGCAGAAGGTGTGATGTAGCAAAGGTTATAATACTGGGAGTTAAGGGACATAGGTTCTACTTTTTTCCTACCACCTATGTGACTTCAGGCAATTGGCATAACCTCTCTAGTTTCATTTTCTGTAAAACTAAAGAATTAATATAAATTATATCTGCAGTCTTTTGTACTATTGTAATTTTATAAACTGACACCCAAAATAAATAAGCCGGGAAGCAGAAAGTAATCTTACTGTGGCCAATTGTTTGTTGTTTACTCAAAATTGCAAGTAGTTCCCTATATTAAGCTATTTTAGATCTGCTTTGCCAAAGTACTAGTCAATGTGAGTAAGACTAGCACAAGATATAAAGGGGGATAAGCTACAGGTAGTTCAAGTGTCACTCCTGATCTGGAAAACTTACAGAGAATTAGGATTGCAAAGACTCATGCGCAGGAAAAGACAATTTATAAACAGATGCATAGATGCAATCAAGACCAAAGACCTAAGACATTACCCTAGACAGCATAAACAATTTACCTTGGTCAGCAGTGTTCTAAGTTTAAGGGACACATACACACACACCCCCTAGAAATTCTTATTAAAAAATTAAGATGCCAAAATACGCCAATGACTATCACAATAGTCTTCAAACTGGGATAAGCAAACTTCTGGAAGCACATGGTTTTCCAAAGGATATGCAGGCACACAGGTAGTAAATCAATTTCCATGTCAACTTTTCCAAGTACCCTCTCCTAAAACTGACCTGTCTGAGAGTGCTCCAGGGGAGTAGATTACCCTATCTTACCTTCCCTTTCCCAAACCCCTCATTCTCCCATTTTACAAAATCAGGCACACAGCTCACCCATCATCAGTTTCTCACTCTGGGGCATTGCTTGGGGTAGGGGACCAAAAACAAAACAAAACAAAACAAAACAAAACCTCTGGGCAGGACACAAGGGGACAATTGGAAATACTGTTGGTGAAAAAGTGAATGGCCCTAATCAATCACTCTTCTTTTGCCACTCAGGTGGCTTTGCCAATTCTTTGTTTAGAATAAAATTGGAGAAGGACCTAATTGAGTTGTCAGCTGATAAATCATTAAATCATCAAAAATAATTTTACATGATAAATCATTGAAAGAAATGAGCAACACTGCTATATAAGTACTCTCATTCTTTCAACTTATGTAAACAAAATTCCAGAGTGTATATATTTAAAAAGAATGAAAAATATGCTGAACTCTTTCCCCAATAATATTCATATACTAATTATGAATTAATTAGAAGAAAAACACCAATGATGCATAAAGAGATAAATTTCTAGTAAAACTGTATTTTTATCTCTAATATTTTTCAAAGCTTTGCAATTTACATGTGTATTCTGACCTACTGTGTTCTAATCATCACTCTAATGATACTTTTTAAAAACAATCACTGGGAGCCGTATGGTCACAGAAAATTAACTTTTTTACCAGAAATATGATAGGGTAATCAATAGATTTTTAAACATAACAATATATAAAGATAAAATGTGGAAAAAGTTTTAAGGAGGCAAATTAACACAAAAATTTCACACAAACAGTAGTTCATAAGTGGACAACATAAAGTATTATAAAGTTATAGGCTTTGCTTAAGACAAATATATTTAAGAATATAACAATTTTACTAAGAAATGCCAAAATTTACAATAAAATGGCAATTACACCATTAGCAAATGATTTAGACTTACGATGAAAAATTTCAAATGTCAATAAAGTAATCCATAGTTTTCAAAATTCTTTTACAGGAGTAAAAAAGTTTAAAGGCCACTGTACTGGTTTACTTTTCGTCTATTCTACACACAAAACACCTTTCAAGTGCCATTACAGAGTGAAAAAACTAACAAACAAACCAAAGAAAACAGCAATTTAGACCCTCAGGAAATGAGCCACTTTGATCAACGAAGTGTTCCAGATATTTGTGGTTATACTCGTTGAGTACCAAACAGTTTTGTTTTCTAATTTTAAATTATTCTAGATGAAAATGTTGCCAAAATGGGGAACTCTTTCCCATCTTCTTAAATGGACCACATCAACATGATTTAACCTTTATTAGTGTTTCCCAGGCAATCACCAGTAACATTAATCCCACTGAGCACTCAAACATAATGCCCCCAAGATCCAGGAGGCTGCTCTGGTCTGCTTCTCTGCATCTCTGCCAGGAAATTGCAAGGTGTGGAATCTCATGAGCTGGGTTCAATTCCTAGCTTAGCCTATCTCACATAAGCTGCCAGCCCCTGAGAGAGGCACTGAAACTCTCTGGGTCCCAACTTTCTTCCCCATAAAAAATTGTTAATACCATTACCTTCTTAAACTATCTCACAAAACTGACATGAGTGCACAGATGTGAATACACTTTTTATTTAAAGATGCCATATCAAGAAAACTTACTATGTTCTGGATTTTTCCCCTTTTTGGTCAGGCTCCTCCTATCACTTCTCAACACTGAATGACTGCATGAAGTCCCTACCCCCATTCCTGCCCCCAACCCCTGCATTCTAACTGCAGTAGGCATGGAAATCAGCCAAAAAATTAATTAGATGTATTTAATTCTAATAAAAATAGGTTAAGTAAGAGATGAGTGTGCTGTCTATAAAATACAGTTGACCCTTAAACAATATAGGTTTAAACTATGTGATTCCACTTACACACAGATTCTTTTCAAAAAAATATATTGGAAAACTATTTGGAGATTTGCGACAATTTGTGAAAACTCACAGATGAACTGCAAAGCCCAGAAATATCAAAAAAATTAAGACAAAATTAGGTATGTCATGAGTGCCTAAAATATATGTAGATACTAGTCTAATTATATGTTAGCCAACTATTTATGTTGCTGGTAAGGCTTCCAGTCAATAGTAGGCTATTTAAGTTTTGGCGGAGTCAAAAGTTACACACAGACTTTTAACTGTGCAGGGGTCAGCATGTTAAACCCCGTGTTGTTCAAGAGTAAGCTTTACATCAAGTTTGTGAAATTTATTTTTAGAGATCATATGCATTCTGGATCACTGATAGTGACTGCTGAGTAAGGTATAGAACAATTTAACTATACGTGTTCCATACAAAACTTCAGTCTGCTCTGACATAACAAGAGTCACAGAAAGGAGGGGCCTAATACAATTTTAATCTCTGATCATCATTCATTTCGGTGTCAAATCCATCTCCTTCCCAACCACTCACACAAGTCCGTATTATTATACTTTCATTAGTTATTTCTGCACTAAATGTTTTTGCTTATTAATGTGTTTGATAGTCCGAAGCTTCAGTTTCCAAGTTCTTGGTTCACCCTGTCTGAAACCTCAGGTTCATTCCCAGAAGCATGAAATAAACCTTTCACTTTCAAGAAGTAGCAAATAAAATTCAAATAACATCAGAGGGGAGGTATTCTGTTTTTCAAAATGCACATATGGTAAGCTAGGCCCCTTATTCTCTTCCACAAACTATTATAAAGTTACTATTATTATATTCTCACTTGATCCTCTGTGCAACTCTGCTATTATTCCCAGGTTACTGATTTGAATCTGAACCTCGTATGTATTTAAGTGACTTGCTCAAGGTCACAAAGGCAGCAGATGAAAGTCAAAACTAGAACTCAAGCCTCCAGATGGATGGTCCAGCCTAGTTCCCTAGTAAACATGCTTGCCCCACTGAAACAGCTCTGTTAGGATAAACACAGACTCTGCCGCAAGGAATGGCAGCAGCATTCTTGCTCTGTTCTATGATTCCTGTGGGACATCGTGTTTTAAAGAGCAGACATTCTGGAGTCACACAGATGTGAGTTTGAATCCAGACAACATAATAACTGTGAGCAAATTATTTAACTTTACTAAGCCTCAATTGCCTCATCTTTTAAAGGTAATAACAGCATCTTTGAGGGATCAAAAAAGACAGTATCCTTAGCACATGCCAGTTATCAACTTGAGTTTATCAAATTTTTTTTTTCTTCAGGCAAGGGGCAGTGCAAAAATTTAAAAATAAAAAATAACGTTTTTAAGCTATTATTATATGACATGTGTTAATTCATTTAAATCTCCTAACAATCCTATGATGTGGTAAATACTATTATTTTCATTCCTGTTTCATTGATGAGGAAAGACCTTGTCTAGGAGAGGTAAGGCAATTTGCCTGGGGTCACAGAAATAAGAAATGAAAGAGCTGGCATTGAAGCTAAGCAGCCTGACTCTAGGGCTCATAGTCAGAAATGCGATCTCTCTGGAAATGATATAATTATAGCACTGCATTTATTCCCACCACCAACACCATCATTGTCATCTCCGCTGCCGTCACCAACCTTGTCTACAGTTAGGCTAGAGGGGCGGCTAGGTCTATGAAGCACCCCAGTGGTGATGAGACAAAGAGACAAAAACTTGACTAAGTAAGACTGACAGGAATAAGGGCTTCAAGGGAAGAAGTCACCAAGGAAGCTGGTCCCCGGAAGAGAATAATGTGCAGCGGAATGGATGAACTAAATGGAGGCCTGCAACTGTGAACGTGAAAAAATATCAGCTACTAGACAGGGGGAGGAAAGGGAAACAGCCCAAGAAAGACAAACTTACATATAAAAAAATTTATCAGATGCCTAAAAGAATACTAAAAAGAAAAATAGCAAATACCTGGTCTGTGATACAACTTGGAGTCTAATCCTTGTCTACTAAATAACTGCTATCTGACACTAAGAGAAAAATGTGATCATTTTAATCTCCCTTCATTGATGACCTGATACAAGCACAAAGAAAAGCATTTGCCTCTGAAAATATCAGAGCCCAGCAAAACCTCCCTCTCAACTACTGAACTGCAATTCTATTTCTTTGGCAAATCTTAAATCATATGTGCATGCAATGTTATTTCTGGGTTCCTTTGAATAACTGTGTTTTGGGCTTTTAATCCACATTATTTTCCTCTACAGCTTCCGTATAAAACTAAAGCCTGTTTGGTTTTTGGGGGGACTTTTTTTGTTTGTTTGTTTCGTTTTGTTTTGTTTTTCCACTTACAGGGACTGAGAGAAATCACAGTTTGCCCATTTCCCTTGGGCGGAATTAGGTTGCATCCTATGTATTCCCAAATACTCTGCATATGCCACTTAGAGAGCAGATGACTCCCATCTGTGACTATAGATCTGGTTTCCCCATTACCCTCTACGATCCCATAGAAGACCCATGTCTTGTTCATCTTTACAACCCCAGCACCTAGTATGCTGTGTTGCACTCAATAAATGTTGGAAGAAAAACTATTTGAAAGTTTTCAAGTCTGTTTTCTGAATCCTTCAAGGTTTCCATTGACACTGAACTTACTCTAGAAGCCTATCTCCTTAGGCAGTAATAATCTCAGATCACCAAAATTGATTAGGATTTAGTGGATTAGTGATTACTCTGGCATGGCACTTGGTTGGGAAAATAAAAAGGAAGCCTCCCTTGGGTTGATCTTTCAGTATCTATTTTGGTGAACAAACAGCCAGTGTTCAGTTTTCAAACAGAAGATACGCCTTAGGGTCATGATCACTTAAAATTTATTAACTACCTCAAAGGGCTTTGTTTATCCCATAATATCTAGCAAAGTGCCTAGCACAAGGTCAGTGTCAGATAAACACTTTTATATTGGTTGATTAATTGACTCCTGTTATTAGAACTGCCACAGGCCAAATGCAGACAATCCTTGAACTCCCAACGAGGGTGTTAACAGATCTAGCAGAACACCAGTAAGACTTTAAGATCAGATAATTAGCTTTTTAGAAGTACAAAGTTAAAATTATATATACTTAGAGACAATTTTGAAAACCTTAAAAAATCATAATTCTTTACTTCTGTATAGAAAGATCAAGTAGATCTTTGAAAAACAAAGTGCTAAACGAGCATTTGACCTTGATCTTAAAAAAACCACTCTTCCATAAGATAAGCTGTACAACTTAACAGAAATTGTTGGCCCTTAAGACATGTGTGGAGGTGGGAGGCTCAGGATCAAGGATCACCTATTATAATATTCCTGAAACTCCCCAAATTCAATTACTATTTGATGAATCTAAACATACTTATTTGAAAAATTTGAAAAAGTTACCTCGGCATTCCTAAAAATTGCACATGCCCCTTTTATCAATAAAACATGAGCTCATACATACTGGTAAACACAGCAATATCAATAAATAAACACATTTTAAATTTAAACTTTAGGTTCTATGCAAAGATCTATTTTTAAATGTTTCACATTTCCCTAAAATTTCCTTGTATTACTGGACTCCAATAGACGTTTAAGATTGAGCATTCTGTTCAATACTAAGGCTGCTATTATATTAAAAATCAGTTTTATAAGATTTTTTTAAAATCAGTAATCTCACAAAGAACATACAGTCATCTTAATACACCTTTTTTTTTTTTTTTTTTTTTTTGAGACAGGGTCTCGCTCTATCACCTAGACTGGAGTGCACTGGTGCAATCTCGGCTCACTGCAACCTTCACACCCCAGGCTCAAGTGTCAATCCTCCCGCCTGAGTAGCTGGAACCACACGTGCGCACCACTAAACCCAGCTGTTTAATACACCATTTTTAACCCAAAACATTAAGAAAAATATAGGAACAGTAAGTAGATTACATTTTGTAAACAGACAAGCTTACAAGTTTTCTCAAATATGAAAGTCATACTAAACTGGGAGACTGTTAACTTCTTGATGGGGTTAATCTCTAATATGAAGCCACAGTCATAGCTAACTACAAATTACATATACAATGCCAAAAATATTCAAAAATAACATTTTTTGCACCTTAATGATTACAAATGCTAACCAGCATAAAGACACTGGAAAGTTTCAGAATCTCCTCACCACATACTTTCAAATATCTTCCCTTTACTTCCATGAAATTGTACTAAGAACATTTCAATCACCTATAATACTCTGCCTCAATAAAATATTTCAGTGTGGGGTTTGGACCTTTCTTTTAAAAGTGTTTAGTAGATGTAACATTTACTGGCCGGGCAGCTCATGTCCTGTAATACCAGCACTTGGGAGGCCAAGGTGGGAGGACTGCTTAAGCCCAGGAGTTCAAGACCCGCCTAGGCAACAAAGCAAGACTTCATCTGTACAAAAAATACAAAAATTAGCCAGGCGTACTGGCGCATGCCTGTGGTCCCAGCTACTCGGGAGTATGAGGCAGGAGGATCAGTTGAGGCAGGCAGGTTGAGGCTGCAGTGAGCCCTGATAGCGTTACCGCACTCCAGTGTGGGTCACAGAGTGAGAAGTGTCTCAAAAAAATAAAATAACACAACATAAAATATCTCCCCCTTTCCTTTCTAACCCCTTTTAGCAGTTTACTGACTGTTTATAGATCTTAAACCAAGTCTTTATAAGCTTCTTTTAATGGACTTACACTCCTCCCCTGAATTCTCCAACCATGCTTTTGACCCATTTTACTCTTAGGTAAGTTTTGTAACTTTCTTCACTGTCCTATGAAAAATGAAGAATGTTAAGGAGCTTATTGGAAAACTTATCTAAGTTTGCTTTTTTCTTCAGATGGGCATTACAGTTAAAAAAAAAATCCTTAAAAAGGTCTTCTTTAGAACTGAAAGCACCAATAAGAGATATGAACCTTGAAAAGGAATGATGTGTTTCTCTGCTTAATCTATTATACTATACTTAAGACTGGGGGGAAAAAAATCTATCCAGAATGGCATTAACCTTTAGAAAATTGGCCAAATCACAAGGGTGGGTAATGCCTGGAAGCTGGAGGTATTTCAAGTTGTGTTAGGGAAGCAAGGTCATGAAAGGTCAGTAACTAAGTTTCCGGCAATACTGCAGCAGGCAAACTGACTTCCACTGGGACCACATGCAACTTGTGCTGCCACTGTTGAGTGGAACCCCAACTCCATACTCCAAACCAGCTTAATTCCTACTATCTGTCCCCAACCCAAGTGCTGGGCACAGCCCACTGCTATAGCTGTTGAAAATGGAGTAAATATCAAGTAAATAAGCTCCAAGATGTAAGAGAGAGGAACAAGCAGCCCAACTCACTGAAATAAAAGGGCCCCATCAATGTAGGTAGGAGGTGCTCTGATGGTACTCAAACTTTAAAGTAATTTAAAGAAATAAGAGAGGGATGGGTAAAATAAGAGAAGTGGAGACTCAGAAAACGAATGTAAGATAGATGTGTATAGTTCTCACTCATACATGGGAGCTAAACAAGGATCTTATGGAGGTAGAGAGTAGAACAGTAGATACCAGAGACTGAGAAGGATCGGCAGGTTGATTAACGGGTACAAAAATACATTTTAGAAGGAATAATTTCTAGGGTTCGAAAGCACAATAGGGTGACTATACTTATCAACAGTTTACTGTGTATTTCAAAATACATAGATTTGCAATGTTCTTTACACACAAAAATGATACATGTTTGAGGTGATATCCCAACTACGCTGATCTGATCATTACACACTGTATGGATGTATCAAAATATCACAAATATCCCATATATGTACAGTCACTACATATCAATAAAAAAATAGATGCCTATATACATAAATACATATAAATTTCTGCTTAACCATGTTAATAAATGCACACAGGTAATTATTTTATAAAATCTTTATACTAAAAGCTGGTACAACCCTACTGACAAAGGTCCCACGAAATGATTATTTATAAAAATATTTTCAGAGATGTTTATAAAAGTTCACTTTAAGGGAAATAGTTCATATTTGAAACTGTAAAAGTATGTTACACATGTGATGTCACATATTCTTGGGGTAAAAAAAAATGAAAGACTTAAGACCTATAAAAAAAATGAAAGTACCATATTAGACCCCAAAATGATAGAAAGCAATAAAATAAAAGCATAAAGAACTAATCAGAATTCATAGAGCATGAAACCTCTAGCCAACTGTGAAAATCACACTTTAAAACAAATTTTGTTTTGCTAGATCTTGCTCTTTCTCTAAATACATCTGTGTGACTTTTCTGTGATTAAGAAGGCCAAAATACTCAAAACAGGCATGGAGAAATTCTGACTTATTTCTGTGCTTGAGTAATAGTCAGGTTTAACTGCCTTCTTTGGTATCTTCCCAGAGACAATGAAGAGTCTGATTCCACTTCTGAAACTGAAAAAGAACTCTGTGGCACTGCTCAAAAACCAAGTCAAGACTTGGGCTTTCATGCTTCCTTTGGTGGAACTTCTTCAAACAGTGCCAACTACAATCATGTGATCACTTAAACCGGTGCTGCTAAGTTGAAAGCAGTGGTCATTTCTCTGCTGTATTTTTATTTTCAAGTAACCATCTGGAGGACCAAATAACTTGATCAATAGGGTAATCTGGAAGCAAGGGGAAGACTACTGGACTAGAAGGCAGAAAACAGAAAAAGAGTTCAGAATTAGGATTAAACTGCTTTGACTTCAACTGTCTACCAATCATTTTCTTCTACTAGCTTTGTTTTCTCAGTTCTTTTATAAACTTTCGGAGGTAAAGAACCAAATACACTTATTTATTGACCTTCCTAAGAACTCAAGATGATGGTCAAATAGTAGATGTTCAAAAGATACTTACTCACTAAGTGTAAATAACAAGCTCAAGTAATACAATGAAATAGTTCCTTAATTTTTCCTCCACTAAAGTCAAGTTCACGTTAAAATATGGGAGAACAGCATAAAATGATACCCAAAGATTCTAATGTGGTGTGTAAAAAAGGTCAAATGGAAGGTTCATGGGGCAGGTTAAATGACAGAAATCTAAGTAGGTGTAACATATCCCCCTTAATTTTGACAACACAGATGGTCTTTGGAGACATCATTTATGGTATTTCTTACCTAACTTGGGAGATTTAATTTCTTATATTCATGGGTGTTGATTAGTAGACTAAATACGTAATTTTAAAATTAAAATAAATAAATATTGCCTGTAATCACATCACTATTGATATTTTTTATTCCCAGTCTTTTTCCTTTATAACCCTGGCAAATAAAGAGGCATACTGCCTTTAAAACATGTTATATGTTCAATTTTTACCCCATTCTTTTTTATTCACTTATTTCAGTTTTAGGAAAAATAGCATAAGCATTTCCCCATGTTACTAAAAACATCAATGAACAGAATCTTAATGGCCAAAGTGTATATTTTTAAACTGGAAATGGGAAATTCAGGCACACAGGAGTTAAGCAGCTTAAACAAAGTCACCCAGTTTATAGGTGGCAAACTGGGATCTGAATCTTAACATATGTGATTCCAGAATTCATGCTAGCAACCAAATTGCTTCTGTGAGTGCAATGTGTGCCACACCCCTCTCATCCTTCCACCTGCATCTCATTCCAACACGTTAGCTCCTGGCTTGTCTCCAGCATGAAATGGTTACTCAATCCAGGCTGGCTTCCTTACTGATCCTCCTACACACATCACTCCATTATTCCTCACCCCCTGCTCCAGGCCCCCCCTTACTTTGTGATCATGTTGTTCACACAGCCCTCAAAGTGTCTGTCAGTCACTTCTTCCTTTCTCTACCTCCTCAAGGCCTAACCATCATCTAAGACCTGGCTCATACACCTCCCCTCCATAAAGCCTTAGCTGACCAAGCAGAACCTTCAGTCATTCAAATCATTTAATAATTACTCTTTTAACACATACTATGTATCAGATACTGCTCTAGTCACCAGGATAGAAAAGAGAATAATAAAACAAAAAAGACTTCTACCCTAATAAGAAGAACAGAAAACAAACAGGTAAAAAAATACAAAGATAATTCTGGTCAGTGATACGTATTGTTAAAAATCGTGACTCTTGTACTAGTTTTTGGCTGGCTTTCTGCCAACTTGCTGTAAAACTGTGAATTACTAAAGGTAGGGATTCCATGTTATGTCTAAAGCTTGGCACATAATAGGTACTTCAGTGATGAGTAAATGAATGCATGTATAAATGAGAGGATGGATGGATGAATGAATAAATGGGTGGATTGTAGATAAACCATTTCATCTGTATGTTTTACCTCCCTCAACCAGACTGTTAACTCCTAAAAGAGCCTCGAGCCTGCAAATCTGTGTTGGTCTAGCGTACCCAGTGAAGGTGAAAATGAATTCGAATGATTTCAGTTGGGGCCCGCATCTCCTGTTAAGTCACGATCCCGACTATTTGCTGTGGTATTACTCAAGGCCCCACTCACATATTCATGCTTCCTGCCTGGCTCCTCTAAGCATCTCCCCCAGACAGGATCTGCTTTAGGACAGAAACCCAAAATTTAATAACTAACAGTAGCCAGCAAATGGAAAAACTTTGTAACATATTCCCAACTAATTCTTTAGGAATTGTGAGAACAGCAATTTCTAGGGTAGATTATTTAAAATTACAAGAAGATCCAAATCATTCCAATATGTAACTAAATTCTCAAAAGCTTACCAAAAGTAATTTCACTCCTTTTTTTTTTTTTTTTTTGGAGACAGGGTCTCTCAGTCAACCAGGCTAGAGTGCTGTGGTATGATCTGGGCTCACTGCAACCTCTGCCTCCCAGGTTCAAGTGATTCTTCTGCCTCAGCTACCAAAGTAGCTGCAAAGTAGCTGGGATTGCTGGCATGAACCACCACAACAGCTAATTTTTTTGTATGTTTAGTAGAGATGTTCTTTTAAAATATTAGCTTAATTTTTAAAAAACATTCATAAGAAATGGTAGAATATATTTTTAAATGAAGCAAAATAAGATGGCAAAACTCTCAAAAGTGTGGAATCGGCCAGGCGCAGTGAGTGGCTCATGCCTGTAATCCCAGCACTTTGGAAGGCCGAGAGAGATGGATCACCTGAGGTCAGGAGTTCGAGATCAGGCTGGCCAGCACAGTGAAACCCCATTTCTACTAAAAATACAAAAATTAGCTGGACATGGTGGCATGCGTCTGTAGTCCCAGCTACTCCAGAGGCTGAGGCAGGAGAATCGCTTGAACCTCGGAGGCGGAGGTTGCAGTGAGCTGAGATCGCACCATTGCACTCTAGCCTGGGCAAAAAGAGCGAAACTCCATCTCAAAAAAAAAAAAAGTGTGGAATCACTTCCTTACAACATCACAATAATTACAGACCATTATCAAGGACACTATTTCTCAAACTTGCTTAGCCTTGGTAACGAAAATAAATCCACAGACAACTCTGTGAACCAGCCTAAGGAAAACAGTCTTAACAGTTAAGCATTCATTTTAGGTATATTTCATGGCCTCATAAACACAAATGCAAACTTTATGATGAGAATCCAATAGGAATGCTCAGTTATAATCAAATTAGGCAACCAAGAAGACATTATTTCTTTTATATTTATCATCTAAATGAAACATTAAAATTGTTTAATTCACATTAAAAACTAGGTGACCCCTGATATGTCCATTACTTGACTCAAGTTTCAGAAATCCAGATCTAAAAAAAACAATTACGAATATCTCTCAAGAAATGAATATATAGTTGTAGTACCAGAATACGTATGTACAACAAACTGCATACAAGTTCATTCTTGATTAATATTCAAAAGTCTTAAATTTCTTAATTTTAAATTTCTCTGCACTCAGCCACAGTTCTCTGGTATACAAGTTAGTTAATAATATATAAATAACCTCTTTAGAATATCAGATTACTGTTAAGAGAATGATGTGGGTGAATTATCTTAGCCAAATAATCACCGTCTATTTTTTTTATTAACTTCAGATTTTGCATTGGGTTTTCTTAAAATGAGAATACTAAACATTAAATGAAAATATTTAACAATACAGTTATATGAAAGAACATCAGAAAACATATTTAAAACTCAATTTTGTATCGTTCTTTCACAAAAATATCCAAAAATTATAATGTGACCCTAACCAAGAGTAATAGCCAAGTGAAAACTGAAGTTTGTGAAACCTCTTAGTTAATGGGTCACTGACCTTTTTTCTGAAATAAATATAACCAAATAGCTTGTTTTCTTACATCCGCCTACTGTGTTTTTAATAACATAATTAAAATAAGTTCACTTTTTAGTTTAATTTTTACTTTAGTTCTCCAGAGAGTCATATATATCACAAGTTTCCTATTCTAGGACTATTTCTCTTATTTTTTCAAGTGGTTATGCCAATACAGCATCATTAGAAATTATAAATTTTGATAAAACATTTTCCAAAAAAGATAAACAAAGAACCACAGATAAAGAAATAGGATAGTATTTTTGGTATATTGAGTTAGGTAAGAGCCCCATAATGGCAGCGGGGAGGGGAGCTTCTTAGGAGCATTGGAATTATAGAAAATTGAACAATTTAAAGACTTTTTAATTGTTCTTGCTTTCATATATAGTACAGACCATTCAAGAAGCTAAGCCTTCATTAGCTTCCAAAGTTATTTTTTTCTACTTGGGTATGAAGATACGTCTCATTTATTTTAGCATAAATAACCAGACTACTGTCAATTTCACCCCCACCATCCTCTCTCTCTTCTCCGTTTCCAGGTAAAACTTTAAAAATATGTGTCAATGGTAACTATCACCTTTTTCTTCCTTCTCTCTCCTCAACCCACTGTTAGATGGCTCTGACCCTTCTCCATTCCTCCAGAACACCTCTCCACATCATCGCAATGGCCTACACATTGCTAAATGCAGTGGTGGGTTACCTCCTCACCTTATTGTTTCCTCCACGTGGATTACTGACTGGACATTCTCCTGGTTTCCCCTCCTGCTTCCATGGCCAGTTCTCAGCCCCAGTATGGTTCATGCCACTGAACTGGATCTCCAAGCTTTGTTCTTATATACTCACCTGCATTTTTGTCTCTCAAAGGCCAGTAATTATTAAGATTTCAACTGAGGCCGGGGGTGGTGGCTCACACCTGTAATCACTTTGGGAGGACGAGGTGGGCAGATCATCTGAGGTCAGGAGTTCGAGACCAGCCCAGCCAACATAGTGAAACCCTGTCTCTATTAAAACCACTGGGTGTGGTTGCGCATGCCTGTAATCCCAGCTACTCCAGAGGCTGAAGCAGGAGAACTGCTTGAACCCGGAAGGCGGAGGTTGCAATGAGCTGAGATCGTGCCACTGCACTCCAGCCTGGGCAACAAGAGTGAGACTCCACCTCAAAAAAAAAAAAAAAAAAAAAAAAAAAAAAAAAAAAGATTTCAACGGAAAAATCACTTTTTAAAGAAGCCTTCCCCACCCCATAAAGTTTTGATCAATTCTGCACCCATCATCCAATCCTCTTGATATTCCATTGTTCTGTGTTAAGCATTTATGACAATCTGAATTAAAATAATGACATTATTAATTATTTGGTAATAATTACCATCATTACAGTGTAACGTTAGGGGCTATCATCCCCGGTGCCCACCATATAGTTTTCCAGACATGAAGATTTGAATGGACAAATTTCACAAACTAAATTGACAACTACTATTTTTAATTCTAAAATGTGTGCAAAACTAAAGAAAAAATAGTATTGTTTCAATTTGATTCAGGTGTTAAAAACAAACCAACTGCAAAGTTAGTTGAACTAAGTTCAGAAGAACTAATAAATTAGAGATATTATATATAAAGTATAATTTATACTTTATACTTTATACATATTATATATAATATATATAATAATATATATATCATATATTATATATAATATATATAATAATATATATATCATATATTATATATAATATATATAATAATATATATATTATATATAATATATAATATATATAATATATGATATATATAATATATATAATATATGATATATATAATATATATAATATATATAATTAATATATATAATAATATGTATAATATATATAATAATATAATAATATATAATAATATAATAATATATATAATATATATAATATAATAATATATATAATATATATATTATATATAAAGTATAATTTATACTTTATACTTTATATATAATATATATAAAGTATAATTTATCTTGAAGATTAAAATAACAAAATAATCCTATAAAAAATAGTTCCAGAAATTAAAACTGAGGACTATTTTGCAGAATCATTAATCTGCTCAGGCTCATCAGAAACCAGGCTATAATGAAGAAAGCCATAAACACAGTGGAATAAACATTTCTTAAGCCTGAAGTTGGTTAATGAGTACAAAAATAGGTAGAGGAATACTTTCTAATACTGGATAATACATCAGAGAAATTATAGTTAATAATTTATTGTATACTTCAAAATGGTTAGAGGAGAAGAAAAGATAAATGTTCAAGGTGATAAATATTCCAATTATCCCGATTTGATCATTACATACTATATACATGTATCAAAATATCACATACAACTCCAAAGTATGTACAACTATGATATATCAATAAAAAATGAGATGCAAAAAAAACTACTCAGTCACTCAGTTTGTTCCTAAAATGATAAATAAGGTATCGATTACTCCAAAATCTTTTATCTTGTGCCACTGGTAATAAACAGGCAAATCATTCATGTTCTGTTTCCTCACTTATAATATAAGCAGTTGAGCAGCTGATCTGCAAGTTCCTTTCCAATCCTTTTGAAAGTTAAAGAGTTTAATCAGAAAGCTCACTATAAGACTCTTAACTACTCAAAATACAAAACAGTATAAGCCTTAAAAAAACACTGAAGGTCCTCTGTATAGCCAAAACTTGTTTTTACTGATATCCGACAAGTCCCATATACTTAAAGCAGTTCTTTAAACTTCATATGTTGATTTTTATTTTGATTATAGTTGCAATACTTCATAGTTGCTTTATTATCTAGTAGCAAATTATGTAATGAGGCTAACAGCCTTGCGTCTAATGACATGAAAAAGAGAATATAAAAAAGTATTAAAACACAGGTCATTCTCCAAGGAACAGCATTGTAGAACTTTTATAGCAAAGCAAAGAGCACAATACACTGCACAGCACATACCTACACCTTTCTATTAGTCCTAACAACAACAAAGATGATTTTGAGTTATCAAAAAAAGTAAAATTATGTTTGTTAAATTCTATTTAGCAAAGCAGAAAAACAGATCATTATTGAAAAGTTTAAATCTAACCGTTACATTAAAAAATTTTAAAACTAAATGTTCTGGAACTTAAACTCATAAGCATACTAACTTACCACTACATTATATTCCCATCAATACAACATTAACACAGGAAGTACTACTTTTCTTATATGCCAACAGATTTAAGGTAGGATAATATTAGTATGACAATAAGGAAAGAACTGTTCTCCACTTATGATTAAAAACGAACAAGCAAACTATAAAAACAGGGAGAACGTACCCTCCTTTGTTGAAATTTGTCCCTGGGAACTGTCTTAAAATTAGTATCAATAGTTTGGCTTTGGGTGGCTATTGGTTTTCAAAGATGACAACTGACAGACTAGGACGATCCTTCAACCATAAAGATATAACTTCCATCTTTTTGTCAAAAAATCAGTTATTAAAAAATATTAGTTTTGTAAATATTGTATGGATACTGAGATAAAACTCCAATGAGACTTAAAACAAAAATGTGTTTAAAAAAAAAAAGCTTCCACATATGCCATATGCGTGCTAAAAATGTTTAAGGTAAAAACTGCAGAAATTTTTCCAAATATTTTCAAAAAATATAATATTATTTTGCTTAATATTTGCTACCTATAGAAAGTACTTTAACAATACCTCTACTAGGTAAATGTGATTTTTTTTTAAAAAGAAGGTTTGGCGAAAATTTGATGAAAATTGGATGCCCTAGCAAGCTAAGAAGAAATAACTGCTTCTGCCTAAAGTTTTGGGGGAAAACATTAAAAATAAAACGTTAAAGAATCTTTCTAAAAAATACCTTGGCTCATATATATACACATTATATACTAAAGTAAATATTTTACAAATATGCCACTACAGATGTAATAATACTGTGTACAAATTGATAAAGGTAATCTAGATTCTAATTTTAAAAAAAGCATTCTAATGGTAATGATAATAACATAATTCTTTTCTAAAAATATCAGCCAACTATTCCCTAGAGGACATAGTACATGATAAAGAATGAGATTTAACAAATTCTATAAATTCTGCCCTGCTGTTGATAAATAAATTCTTCATGTGTAACTCAAATTCTTAAGTTCCTGGTTGCAAAGTAAAAGAAACAGCCAATTCAAGGACACTAACGACGGAGTATGAAGCAGTGTATAAAAACTGAATAAATCAGCTGATGCCCACAGCACAGAAGACCAGTTACCAAACCACTAATTATAATTTGGCATATACTTATATTATCAAAGCTAGTTTTTAAAAATCTATGCTTAATTCCACAATTTTTAGCTATCTAGTATATGCAAAGTACTGCTAAGCCCCTAGAAGAAAATATAGTCTCTTCACTTCAAACCTGGTAGGAACATGACACAAATGAAAGATCACAGAAGGGGAATTTCCAAGTTTAAGAATCATAAAAGAGACTGGCCTGCATAACCAAAAGAGATTCAAAGGAGATGGGAAAAGGCCATTTCCTTCCTAGGACACAGGGAAAACGTCTTAAATTTCTCTTTTATCCACCCTACACTGCCAACAAGTGTGTAATAATAATATATATATAAGTGTATAATAATGAATGTAACTATTTTACAGATGTTTAGTAAGTAAAAATATGATCAAAGACATTTTAAGGCAAAATCATCAGCTTGGATATGAAAAATTAAAAGCTTGGTTTAAATTTGCTCCTAGTTAAATACAAGATTGTCTTTAAGCAAAACTCATTCAAGAATTCATTTATGAATAACAATTTAAAGATTACACTCAGACCAGATATTAGGTAGATTTTAGGTCTTCCATATTTTAACATTTGTTTGCATAGTTACAGAAGACTGACTAAAATCATGAAGTTTATTATCTCTTATTAAAAATATTGACTGTGCTGGGTGTGACGGCTCACGCCTACAATGCCAGCACTTTAGGAGGCCGAGGCGGGCGGATCACCTGAGGTCAGGAGTTTGAGACCAGCCTGGCCAACATGGTGAAACCTCATCTCTACTAAAAATACAAAATTAGCCAGGCATGGTGGTGCATGCCTGTAATCCCAGCTACTGGGGAGGCTAAGGCAAGAGAATCACTTGAACCCAGGAGGCGGAGGTTGCAGTGAGCCAAGATCGTGCCACTGCACTCCAGCTTGGGCAAAAAAGAGCAAAACTCTGTCTCAATTAAAAAAAAAAATTGAGTGCTTAACAGTTTTAAAATCATAGGATGTTTTCCCCTGATAACTTACCTACATATGAGTCATATATTTTGGTAAATATTTAAATATTAAGATTAAACTAAAATTTACTATAATTACATCAAAAGACAATGTTCTTTACTAATAGAAATTTTGTTTTGGAATCTTCAGTAAAATAAAACAAATTGTTAGTATATATTATCACATGAATGTGCTTGTATAATAATACTGAATAACAATGTTGGAGGATAGTGAAAATAATTTTTAAAAATCACAACAAAAAAAACCTGTGGATTTAAAATTCATATTCTGTCCAAAAGCTCACACAAGAGAAACAAGATTAAAAATCAAATAGCCAACATAAACTCCTAGTAAGTGAAACTATTTTTTCATGAAAAAAGCATGATAAAGAGCCTATTTTGTATTACATTAATGTTTCATAATTTCCTATGTCTGAAATTGGACTCTATAACTGATGTCAAGTGATTAAAATGAACTAGACCCAATTAACTGCATATATAATGCCATAAGTAAGTCAAATTTTACATAAAAGATTATTGGCTTTTTAAAATCTGCTGTGCTGATTTGCAATGAGCTTCTCAAGTACAATCCAAAGTTACGTAGGGAAAAAAAATCCACCGCCATAAATATATAATTTATATAATTAACAAAAAATACTCCAGAGCTTGCCAACTTGTGTTCTTAAAACTAGATTTTAAAATTCTATAGAAAATGATAGTAAAACTAAAGATATTCAACCATCATAGGTACCTTTCTAATGTTCCCACAAGACATTTAAGAACACAAATAATAGAATGAAGACCGATATGGTAAAAAAGAGGCAGCTCGATATCCAACTAAAACCCGAGTATGCAAACTGGGGAAGAACAAACTATTACCAACAGTGAGGATTAAACTCCTTTAACGTCTTCTTTCTGGTAATAAAAGAGGCTCCCTCAACATAGGTTAAGTGCCTATGTAAAAAGAGGCACAAAGAAATCTGCTGGGATGGGAGGGACTGCAAAGCATCCATCAACATCTGTGTGAAAAGACCCGCCAGGCTCTCAGGAGTTACACTCAAATAATGTGACCCTTCCAGACAGGACAATAAGGAGACAGATTAGACCCTTCAAGCAGTGATTCATCCCCGAATACATGGCAAGAAGGGATCCAGTATGAAGCTTGGACCCTGTGTGTTTGCTTAAGTGTCTGGGCAGCTCTTTTGGTGGCCCTATAACTAGCTAGTGGGTTGCCTATAGTCTCAGGACAAGTTACTAAAGGAGGCTCCAGACTGAGAGATGAAAGACCCAACTGTTCCAGGCACACTCTCAAACTTAATCAAAAGATAAATTCCAGTGCATGATTCGCCCAAGTGCTTACTCGCCCTTTACGAGACCTATCTTCTGACATAGATTTTGAAGAAAAACTCCTAAATATAAGCAGTATAATAAAACAATAAAGCCTATCTTAAAAGGAGCTCACCTCAACAACTAGAGGAAACACAATGTGAAAGTGAGAAAAAATAATGCAGGCGTTTGAGACATGCATCTCTTCTGAGTATGGGTAATCCCTCTCATTACGAAAGAGCTGGAATATAGAACAAGAGGGTCCCTCAGGGCCCAAGGAATGACTACATTACTTATAAAATCTTTAGTGGGCCAATATTTAAATCATCAACTCAATATCTCAAATGCCTCAAGAATAACTCACCCCAATCAGGTAGCTGCCGCCTGCAACTGCCTTCTTCTACTCTTCCAAATTTGCTACTCTTGCATTTGACAGGTTGGGGAAAATGTCACAAGCAGGGGACAGGTCCACATTCCCCTTGGCCCAGGGAGCAGGAAGAACTCTTCTCTCATCTGCTCCCTGTGAACCTCTGGATGGGCTTCTTCAAGGGAGGAGGCACCTCCCTTTGAGCTGAGTGTGCTGTGCTTCTCCTTCCTGCAGATGGAGTCAGGCAGGGAAGGAGCCTGTTTCAGGGCCACGAGCCCCTCTGCTCTTTAGGCAGAAAGACAGGAAAATGAAGCCATAAAAAAACCCATGTTTCTGGAAAATTGGAAGGAAGGCAAGCGTAGATGCTACTATTTTTCAAATATTTAAAAATGCTAACCTGGCCACTAGTATGTGATATTTTTCATACATACAAAACCTAATGAGAAATAGGTTTCTAATAACTTTACCCACTGACAAATGAAGCTTCAACCTCACTCTATCTTTCAGTCAAGTCTGCGTCCTCACTGCTTAGAAGGCAAGGTGGTAAAATGTCCTTTCTTGAATGAATTTATATTCAAGTTGCTTTCCGTCTGTAGCTCCTTGCTGTTGCCTGGAAACAGGAAACCCTTCCCACCTACATGCTTCCTGACTACTCCCCCCATGTCTCCCTCTTACAGTGCAGTGAATGCACCTGGCCATGCTTCTAGATACTGTTTATCTTAAAGAAGAGCTGATTCTTTACAACAGAGCAATGGCAGGAATTTTGCCACTAAGCTGTTTAAGAGAGAACATTGACTAGTCAAACAAATTAGTTCTGAAAACTTGAATTGCTTAGGTAGGAGAACCACAAGAACAACAGCAAAAATGCACTTTATCTAAAACCACTTAAACATGGTCAATGTTAGATACAAATTCATTAAAACAAGTGTGTCAAACAAAAACAGAAGTTGTTCTCAAGGGTTTTTTTCCCCCTACTTCTTTGCCTTATTGATATTTGAAAACCTTACTTTCTTGAGATAAGACAGTACTTCTAATATAGCCCTCTATGCTTGGCCAGGCTCGTCATCTTGGTGAGCCTCCTTACTGCAATACCCACACCACATCAGTCACTAAGCACTTATGGGGTCTACTTATCTACCCTTTGTTCATTTGATATTTTCTTTCCAGTCCCTTTGCTACCACTGAACTTCAGGCATTAATTTTCATTTACGATTACTGCAGCAATAAGAACTACCTTTTACTATTTATTATCAATTGCTTAGAGAATACCATGTGTCAAGTACTACAGAAGCCATTTATATGTCTTACCTCACTATTCATAATTCTATTATTCCTTATGCCTAATAATCAGTGAGGCAGGTACTATTACTTTCCCATTTTATAGATGAGGATACTGAGATTTAGAAAGTTTAAATAACTTGCCCAAGTCATATACCCTTAAAGTAGGCCTCAAATTCTTCTCCTAGTAAGATAGTAGCAGAATATCTTTACTTTCCAATCTTTCCTTCCATTCCCGCCATGTTTTCCCTTTGGAAATGTTCTTTCGACAAATTTAAAACCAAATATGGGTTTACTTCTTAGCTGGGTGAATCATATTGTGATCCACACTCACACCAACAGTACCATATACTGAGTCCACCCCCTCCTCTTTAGAGAAGAGCAGGCATATCAGCGATCCATTTCAGTGTTTTAATAATGAGATTCATGGCAACAAATTTTATGTGCTTTACAGAGATACCACAAAAAATAAATATCTTCAGCCAGGCACGGTAGCGCTTACACCTGTAATCCCAGCACTTTGGGAGGCTGAGGTGGGTGGATCATGAGGTCAGGAGATCAAGACCATCCTGGCCAAGACGGTGAAACCCCATCTCTACTAAAAATACAAAAATTAGCTGGGCATGGTGGCACACGCCTGTAGTCCCAGCTACTCAGGAGGCTGAGGCAGAAGAATTGCTCGAACCCAGGAGGCAGAGGTTGCAGTGAGCCAAGATCGCCCCAATGCACTACAGCCTGGAGACAGAGTGAGACTCCATCTCAAAAAATAAATAAATAAATAAATAAATATCTTCTTGCAATTTAATGCTTATAAAGAGCTTCGGGAGGAAAGAAAAATAGTGCGTTTTGGTCAATCCCTTGTAACCAAAGATATAAGCCCCTAATGTTAAAACAAAAATCACAAAGTAAAAATAACTAGATAGATAGATCAATCAATATTTGGAATCTTGACTTGTATCTAAAAAATATTGAGTGTCAAAAAGTAAATTTGCATCACAAATTTATTGAATTTATAATTTCATCTGATTAATGTCTCACTGCTCTTAGTTCTATAGATTCTTTTAAATTTTGGCTTTCACACACATGTAATATACATTCAAGCTTAACTATACCTTAGATCACACAGAAAAACCTTCTAAGGCAAAACTGAAAATGAGAAACTGCCCAAAGTCAGGGAATTAGGGAGGTCAATAAACCGATGATAATTTTCAGACAACATCTTCTCCAGCTAAAAGAAAAAAAAGCCAGTTATTCATTCAACAAAATATAAGTAGTGTTTTGAAAAAGATATTGAAAAAATCACATTTGTGCCAATACAATCATAAAATAGCTATTTAATTCTAAGCAAATATTAAGGCAAGACTGGATGCCAGTTATAGTATTATAATTTATGAACCACTTCAACTTCAGCATATCACTGGTATTGACTGAGCCCCAGTTTCCCCACATCTGCAAAGATAATAATGGCAACCACTGGTCGTGGTAAAAATTAAATGAGAATATGATGGGAACATTTGGTGTCTTCACATTTTTATTTTTATTTTTCTGAACTAATTTTATATTCCTTGGTTCTTATCACATTTCTTTTTCTCATCACTTTACTTTGAGACAAAGTCTTGCTGTGTCACCCAAGCTGGAAGGCAATGGCACAGTCACTGCTCACTGCAGCCTCGACCTGCCGGGTTCAACTGATTCTCCTGCCTCAGCCTCATAAAATGCTGGGATTACAGGCATGAGCCACCACGCCTGGCCTCAACACATTTTACATTGTCAAACATACAAGAAAGACCTGAAGACAGCACAACTATCATTTCTGGCACACATGCTTCATTTATCTACATTTAGAAAACTTGCTATTTACTAAAACTTTTGAGATACTACTGCCTATTGAAATTATTTAAATTAGACATAATTACCCGAGGAAATGAGTAGAATGTCTGGTATTACATCATCAGATATTGTTAGATATAATTAAAAAAAAAATTCAGCCATGGAAACTATACTTCTCTAAAGCTAAATGCCAAAATAAATGAGCAGATAAAATGCTATCTAACTAAAATATATAATTAGCATTACCCTGCACTTTACTTCTTTTTAGATATCCATCCCCATCAGATGATCAGTGTAGGCAACAAAGGTGACAATATTGCCAGGATTTTTTTCCCTAAATGAAAACCTAAAAAACTCAATGAAAATATAGTCCAAAAACATCTTATTAACTAGAAAAGTGATATAATCAAGCAAACATTGAATAATCAAACTGTCCATAAACACTGGCAACAAAATAAGAGAATGTCAAAAAAATCTGAACTGATATTAATTATTTTCTAAATTTAGTAATAGCTCATCATTTGGTAAACAACTAAACAGTCCATGTCTTTATAAGTTGGTGAAGGTAGAGAGAGGAAAAGGGGAGGACGGTGGAGGATTTTACTATTTTTAATTGAAATTATACAACTAGACAAGTAAAGAAAGTAAATTCTTTACAAGAAACTTTATCATAAAGTTCACTGAGACGAATTGTTTTTAGGCTGGGATTATCCAGGTAATGGCTTTGGTTTTGCCACAAGAATTTCTAAGGGTGGAAACAGCTGTTGCATAATTGCCACCTTTTTGTGGGTTTATGTGATTCTTTGGTTCTAAAACACTTTCCATTTTATCTTCCTTTATTTTTAAGTCTGAAACAATTCTAATGGCCAGTGGTCAGATACTTGGGGTATCAAACCTAACTGGACACTTGGACAGTAACAACAGTTGTACCACTTCACTAACCCAGGAAAGTCCACTTGAGTTGGCTTATACTGCCCTCTACAGCCTTGAGTCATTCCTTCTCAAAAATAAATCAATTTTTATAATGTGGAAGGACAACACAGAAGAGGTCAAGAGATATTCTTCAGCATTCAGTTGCATCTCATTCATAATTACATTTTTTAAAAGTTATAATTTGTAATTAAAATTAGTAATATCTTTAATAATGGTGATGTAAAAGGTGGATTTTACAATATTGCTCCATACCTTTTCACCCATTTTATTCCTTAAGCTCCCAATGAAGAATTTCCTTTACTTCATTTCAACGAATTGAGTGTTTATTATCATATGTGACACTGAGCTACATGTTGAGAGTACCAAAATATAAATAACATGATCCCTCTTCTTCATAACATTCAAAGATCAGCCTAAACTTTAATAGATACTTATCTAAGATATATATTTCCCTGAAATTACATTTCTCAAAAGATCAACCTAAAGTCGCTAAATTGCAAAGAGTGAAATAACCTGTACCCAAATATAACACAATGTTAATCTTGCAGTAAGACGATGCCAGGTTTAAGTTTGGAGCCCCCTATTAGGTGTGTGATATTGGATTACCTACCTAACCTTTCCAGGTCTCAAATTTCTCGTTTATAAAATGGAGATGTTTACAAATCTTAACTTTTTTTTCAGAAGAATAAATGATATAATCTTCCAAAGGTCTTAACCATATTGCCTGCTTCAGAGTGAGTATTCAAGAAATGATAGCTGTTAAACTATTTTTACTATCTATTTATATTTTTCAAACCAAAAATAGAGATACATGGTCTGAACAAACATAAGAATACTTATAAAGAAAAAGATTTGCTGGGAGTGGTGGCTCACGCCTGTAATCCCAGCACTTTGGGAGGCTGAGGCGGGTGGATCACCCGAGATCAGGAGTTTGAGAGCAGCCTGACCAACATGGAGAAACCCGGTCTCCCGGCTAATACAAAATTAGCCAGGTGTGGTGTCACATGCCTGTAATCCCAGCTACTCGGGAGGCTGAGGCAGGAGAATTGTTTGAACCCAGCAGGCAGAGGTTGCGGTGAGCTGAGATCGTGCCATTGCACTCCAGCCTGGGCAACAAGAGCGAAACCTTACCTCAAAAAAAAAGAGAGAGAGATTTTAAATTAGGACTGTCACAGGAAACCAAAGCTGTTTATTTCCTTTAAAATGTACTGAAAATATTTAACAAAACTGTAACTATGTTTAATCTATATTTAGTTTCATTTTTAAAGCCCACATAACATGTTAACAAACACTGTTTGTTTGTTTGTTTGTTTGTTTTGAGACGGAGTCTCACTCTGCCACCCAGGCTGGAATGCAATGGCGTGATCTCATCAGCTCACTGCAACCTCCGGGCCTCCTGGGTTCAAGCGATTCTGCTGCCTCAGCCTCCCGAGCAGCTGGGACTACAGATGCCCGCCAAGCCCGGCTAATTTTTGTATTTTTAGTAGAGACGGTGTTTCACCGTATTGGCCAGGCTGGTCTCAAACTCCTGACCTTGTGATCCACCCGCATCGGCCTCCCAAAGTGCTGGGATTACAGACGTGAGCCACCGCACCCAGCCAACAAACATTTTATTTATTATTTGTACCTAAAAAATTTTGAGTTTATACAAAGAGATACCAGATGATATACTAAATCTTCACGGAGAATGCTTCTTAATCTCCATTAGACATAGCTTGTTTGATTCTTTTTAATTGTTGTTTAGATTTATTCTACGTACACATTAAAGAATCATAACTTTGAAACACTGAAAAATAGTTGCATTGATGTAGGTTAATTATTGTAAATACGATCTCATTCCAATAATGAGGATGTAAGATTGAATATAATATTTTCATTGTTTTCACTTGGTTAATTTATTACTAAACTGGGATAACATTTAAAATATTATATTAGTTGGAAATTTACTTAAAATTTTTAAATAAGCCAAGAAACACATATATTGGGTACACCGGTAGCAAATTAAATGCACAGACTTCTTTTGAAGACAAAATTAACAAAGAGGGTGGCTCACTTAACAATATCTCTTCATGGAATTTTCCTGGATGTTTTGCATTCTTTAAAATGAGCCTTTTAATACAACAATAGAGGTAAATCAGTATATTTTTAAAAATTAGCTTTCCTAGTCATACTTTTAAGATATATAATTTTTATTTGAGGGTTGATAATTTATATGTTACTTTTAAAATCAGCCTGTTTATACATTTTTATATTAAATACTGAAATGATTATACCATATTGATGTTAATTCTAACCTTTTTCTAAAAGAATCTGTAAACATACTAACGATCAGAATGTTACGAAGAAAGGAAACACACTGAGAGTTTACCTGTAATTATAAAGCATTCAGATATAAAGACTAATATGCAATTACTTTTAATACATGAGAATCTCCAATCAGCTTCAGGCATTTTTGGCATCTCTGAAGAATAACAATCCCAGTAAAATAGCCATTTAACACATACCAGTTGTCTCAAGATAATATATTAAATAGAAGAAAAAAGAGTTAATTGCTCACATTTAAAAAAAAATAAATGATTGTCACAAAGTCTTTCGCTGGGAATTCTGAGAACTAACGAAAGGATTACGTGAATATAGCAGACGGGAAAAGTTCAAGAGACAATGAGTGTCCGATGTGGTCACCAGCACACAGTGGTTCTGCTCAGAAATAAATGTACCATCCTAAGCACCTTAAAGAAGGTAACGTACTTTCTGGGTAGTATTTTCAGCCTCTTAGTCTAACATGATATAATTTCCCATAACCTTTATTTACCCTTTCATATTATGTTGTTAAATGATTTCTTCATAAAATAGGTACATTATCCTTTCAGAAAAAGTAAATGCCCTGCACAGTCAATGGCAAGCAGAACTTGCACCAATGGTACCTCACTCAGCTAAGGAATCCCAACAGGTGGATTAAAGTGAACCACATGTGCATGCACATACGTACCACACATACACACATATACACATGCACAGGAACCAAACACTGAGCAGATTTTTAAAGGAATAAAACAGGAGGCTGACTCTCTTTTCGGACTCAGCCCGCCTGCACCCAGGTGAAATAAACAGCCTTGTTGCTCACACAAAGCCTGTTTGGTGGTCTCTTCACATAGACTCGCGTGACATTTGGTGCCGAAGACCTGGGACAGGAGGACTCCTTCGGGAGACCAGTCCCCTGTCCTCGCCCTCACTCTGTGGGGAGATCCACCTATGACCTCGGGTCCTCAGACCAATCAGCCCAAGGAATATCTCACCAATTTCAAATCAGGTAAGTGGTCTTTTCACTCTCTTCTCCAGCCTCTCTCGCTACCCTTCAATCTCCCTCTCTCACTACCCTTCAATCTCCCTGTCCTTCCAACTCCAGTTCTTTCTCCCCTCTAGTAGAGACAGAGACACATTTTATCCGGAAACCCAAAACTCCGGCGCCAGTCACGGACTCAGGAAGACAGTCTTCCCTTGGTGTTTAACCACTGCGGGGATGCCTGCCTGATTATTCACCCATGTTTCATTGGTGTCTGATCACCGTGGGGATGCCTGCCTTGGTCATTCACCCACGTACCCTTGGTGACAAGTCAATTGCGGGGACACCTGCTTTGGCTGCTCACCCACATTGCGTCCCAGGGCTGCTCACCACCCCCTTCTCCGTGTCACTACCTTTCTCTTTAAACTTACCTCCTTCACTATGGGCAACCTTCCACCCTCCATTCCCCCTTCTTCTCCCTTAGCCTGTGTTCTCAAAAACTTAAAACCTCTTTAACTCTTGCCTGACCTAAAACCTAAGCGTCTTATTTTCTTCTGCAACACCGCTTGGCCCCAATACAAACTCAATAATTGTTCTAAATAGCCAGAAAACAACACTTTTGATTTCTCCATTTTATCTGGATGATTTTTGTCGAAAAAATGGGCAAATGGGTCTGAGGTGCCTGACGTCCAGGCATTCTTTACTACACATCAGTCCCTCCCTAGTCTCTACTCCCAGTGCGAACTTGTCCCAAATCCTTCTTCTTTCTCTCCTGTCTGTTCCTTCAGTCTCCACCCCAAACTCTTGAGTCCTTTGAATCCTCCTTTTCTGCAGACCCATCTGACCTCTCCCCTCCTCCCCAAGCTGCTCCTCACTAGGCCAAGCCAGGTCCCAATTCTTCCTCAGCCTCCGCTCCCCCACCCTATAATCCTTTTATCACCTCCCCTCCTCACACCCTATCTGGCTTACAGTTTCTTTCCTCAACTAGCCCTCCCCAACCTGCCCAACAGTTTCCTCTTAAAGAGGTGGCTGGAGCTGAAGGCATAGCCAGGGTTAATGTTCCTTTTTCTTTATCCGACCTCTCCCAAATCAGACAGCATTTAGGCTCTTTTTCATCAAATGTAAAAACTCAACCCAGTTCATGGCTTGTTTGGTAGCAACCCTGAGATGCTTTATAGCCCTAGACCCTAAAAGGTCAGAAGGCCGTCTTATTCTCAATATGCATTTTATTACCCAACCCGCCCCCGACATTAGAAAAAGCTCCAAAAATTAGATTCCGGCCCTCAAACCCCACAACAGGACTTAATTAACCTCACCTTCAAGGTGTACAATAATAGAACAGAGGCAGCCAAGTAGCAACGTATTTCTGAGTTGCAATTCCTTGCCTCCACTGTGAGAGAAACCTCAGCCACATCTCCAGCACACAAGAACTTCATAACGCCTGAACCGCAGCAGCCAGGGGTTCCTCCAGGACTGCCCGCCCCAGGATCTTGCTTCAAGTGCTGGAAATCTGGCCACTGGGCCAAGGAATGCCTGCAGCCCGGGATTCCTCCTAAGCCATGTTCTATCTGTACGGGACCCCACTGGAAATCAGACTGTCCAACTTGCCTGGCAGCCACTCCCAGAGCCCCTGGAACTCTGGCCCAAGGCTCTCTGACTGACTCCTTCCCAGATCTTCTCAGCTTAATAGCTGAAGACTGACGCTGCCCAATCACCTTGGAAGCCTTCTGGACCATCACAGACACTTTGGGTAACTCATAAAGTGGAGGGTAAGTCCGTCCCCTTCTTAATCAATATGGAGGCTACCCACTCCACATTACCTTCTTTTCAAGGGCCTGTTTCCCTTGCCTCCATAACTGTTGTAGGCATTGACAGCCAGGCTTCTAAACCTCTTAAAACTCCCCAACTCTGATGCCAACTTGGACAACATTCTTTTATACAGTCCTTTTTAGTTATCCCCACCTGCCCAGCTCCCTTATTAGGTCGAGACATTTTAACTACATTATCTGCTTCCCTGACTATTCCTAGGCTATAGCCACATCTCATTGCCGCCCTTTTCCCCAGTAATTTTCCACTACCTACCCAAATCCTATAAAACGGCCCCACCCCTATCTCCCTTTACTGGCTCTTTTCGGACTCAGCCCGCCTGCACCCAGGTGAAATAAACAGCCTTGTTGTCATAAAAATAAAAAAAAATTAAAAAAATAAAAAATAAAAAAGGAATTACTCTAAATAAGAAAGACAGTCAAGAATATGCCAAACACACCTCCATAAAATACTGTTAACGTGGTAAGTTTGAGATATCAATATGAGAACTAGTGATCAAAGACTCACTCTTGTAATTAATTTCAACAAGTTCAGTTACTTTCAAGGAAGTAGGATATCAAGAAACTATCAAGGATATATTCTTAAGATTGTTATGAAGGAATTGCTCAATTAAATGAAATAACACGTGAATAAAATAACCTAGTACAGTTCCTGGCACGTAGTTAGCTAAGTTAGGTAATATTATTACAATTATGGGATTTCATCCCTACAACAATATAGGCAGTATAACATTTTTACCACAATTTTGCTAGAAAATTGAAGCTCAGAGGAATCAGGTAACCAGCCACAACACAGTTAATGGCAGAGAAACAAGATCTGAACAGAGCTCTGTGTGATTGTTGGAATCTATACTTGTATCACACACATATTTTACATAGACTTCAAAACATTTGGATGTATCTAAAATGAACCTTGAGTCCTGGAAATGAAACTTTGGGAAGCTGGAAATTAAAAATTTATTTATTGAACTATAAGACTGATCAGACTGTTAGGACACCACTGAAAGAATATCGTTGAAGAAAGAATTATGAGTGGAACCTGGGCCAAGGATTTCCCCAGAATGCAAAAGAAAGAAATAAAGAAATAAATGGTTAAAAAAAGAAAAGTTAGGAGACATAGAGGACAGATCTACCTTCCATCTGTTGGCAATTCCAAGAGGTGAGAATAGAGAAATTGGAGAAGAGGCAACATAAGAAAAGAGCAGAAAATGGTCGGGCGCAGTGGCTCATGCCTGTAATCCCAGCACTTTGGGAGGCCGAGGGGATCACAAGGTCAGGAGATCAAAACCATCCTGGCTAACACGGTGAAACCCCGTCTCTGCTAAAAATACAAAAAATTAGCCAAGCGTGGTGGCGGGCACCTGTAGTCCCAGCTACTCAGGAGGGTGAGGCAGGAGAATGGCGTGAATCTGGGAGGTGGAGGTTGCAGTGAGCCGAGATTCCGCCACTGCACTCCAGCCTGGGCGACAGAGCAAGACTCCATCTCAAAAAAAAAAAAAAAAATAGCAGAAAATAGAGAATCTGACATAACTGAAGAACATGACTCCAACAGCCTCCACATTGAAAGGAGGCTGCCAATTGGGATAAATTAAAAACAAAAACACCTAAAACATATCAATGAAAAATTCTGAGTAGCAAGGATAAACAGAAAACCTTAAAAACTCTCAGGAAAAGAACAAAAGATTATACACACAAGAAGCACCAAACTTCCTTTTAACAATAATCCAGGAGATGTTTTCCTTTTTTTTTTTTAATCAACCTGAGAGGTCCAAGAAAGAGAATGGAGGAGAATAAGAGAATACTCAAGTTCTCTTGCTTAGGGAGAAGCTACAAATACCTATAACTGTAGATGTTGTGAGAAAAACATGTTTAAATACGCATGTTAATAATATAAAGGCAACCACAAAATAGAAAGGAATGTATGCTATTCAAACCAATAGAGCAAATAAAGAGTAAAACAAAGACAACTTAATCATTCCAAGAAAAGTCTGGAAAGTGGAAATGAAGAGAAAGGATAACAGAAAATACAGGAGGTTTAAGTCAAAATAAACATAAACAGGCTATTCAGAGTTACGTTCAGACTAACCAAAAAGTAAAACCCAGCTATGTCCATATCCGTAAAAGATACACCTAAAACAAAATGACACGTAAAGGTTTAAAATTCAGGGATGTGAAACCATACAGCAGGCAAATGAAATTTAAAAAGTAGGTATAGCAGTATCACAATAGACAAAAAAGTAATCAAGAAGCAAATCTTTAGAAGGGAAAAAGAAATATTTTTACCACCAAAAAGAATAACCTTCCACAAGTGGATAACAATCACCAATTATCTATATACTTAACAATATAGCTTTGAAATATATAAAGAAAAAAAGACAAAACCCATAACACAACTTGACAATCACAATCAGATTAGAACACCTCTCTCTGAAAATAAGAGACAAATCAAAAGAAAAATAAGTAATACTATGAAGGCTAGGAATAACAAATTCTAATCAACCTAAGAGACATAATATTAACCTGATACGAATATATGTACTCAGGACCCCACATAAAAAGAACTCACTTCACAGAGAATGGCTGCACAGCAGCCAACAAAGAAAGTATTAACAAATTTCTAAATACTGCTAACCTGCAGATCATACTCACTAACCTAAATACAGTAACATAAGAAATAATGAAATAACAGACAAAAAAAATTAATGGGAAATTTTAAACCACATTTTAAAATAATGTATTGGTTTGAGAATAAATGAATGGTTAAATTTTAAAATCAAATTGAATGACAATCACTACACTACCTGAGAAAACTGTGAGATACTACCAAAATGGTACTCATAGGAAACAGTACATCAAATGGCATTTCAGAGAAGAAAAGAGTTTAAAAATAAATGAATTATTTCAAAACAAGCACTAGAAAAATGAACAAAGTAAAAAGAACAAAAATAGTAGAATTGATTAGGATAAAAGAATGTAATAAATACATGAAAAACAAAAACTAGAGACACAAAAAAGATTAAGCATTAGAAAAGAACAGTAAGAACAACTTTATACCAAAAACTTCAAAGCCTACATGAAGTGGACAGTTTGCTAACAAAATATAAATTATAAAAACTGACCAAAGAACAAACAGAAAACCCAACAACAAAACCACCATAGGAAAAATACTAAAGCAGTTGCCAAAGATCTACATTCTCAAAAAAAAAAAAAAACAAAAAAGGTACCAGTCCTGAGGCAGTTTCATAGAAGTTCAAATAAATAATTCTCACTCTAAGTGACTTATTCCACAGCACAGAGAGGTTATAGAAAATTATTTTAGCTGAGGTTCACTTTAACCCTGTGCTAGAAGCTGTAAGAACAGCAAAGTTATTATCCACTCACACTTCAAAGTAGATGTAAAATTTCTTAGTAAAATAAAAAATAGAATAGTGTTTGAAAAGAGTAAGATCAGGTTGAGTTTAATCTCAGAAATGTAAGGATGTTTAACATCAGAAAATTTATCAATGGAATTCACTACATTAACCACTTAAGAGAAGAAAATGACATGATTAGGTCAACAAACTATCTTTTTTTTTTTTTTTTTTTTTTTTTTTGAGACAGAGTTTCGCTCTTGTTGCCCAGACTGGAGTGCAATGGCGCGATCTCGGCTCACTGCAACCTCCGCCTCCCGAGTTCAAGCGATTCTCCTGCCACAATCTCCCAAGTGGCTGGGATTACAGGCATCCACCACCATGCCTGGCTAATTTTTTGTATTTTTAGTAGAGATGGGGTTTCACCATGTTGGCCAGGCTGGTCTTGAGCTCCTCACCTCAGGTGATCCGCCTGTCTCAGCCTCTCAAAGTGCTAGGATTATAGGTGTGAGCCACGGCGCCCAGCCCAACAAACTATCTTAACACCCATTCATAATAAAATTTCTTAGCTAAGAAAAGAAAAGAACTTCCTTAACCTGATAAAGAGGTCTAGAAGAAACACACATACACATTCAAAAAAATAAAAAATAAAAAAAAAACTAGGTTGGGCACGGTGGCTCATGCCTGTAATCCGAGCATGATCCCAGTGGATCACGAGGGCAGGAGTTCAAGACCAGTCTGACCAAGATGGTGAAACCCCATCTCTACTAAAAATACAAAAATTATCCGGGCATGGTGGTGGGCATCTGTAATCCCAGCTACTCGGAAGGCTGAGGCAAAGAACTGTGTGAACCTGGGAGGCAGAGGTTGCAGTGAGCCGAGATTGCGCCACTGCCCTCCAGCCTGGGCAACAGAGTGAGACTCCGTCTCAAACATACATAAATAAATAAATAAATAAATAAATAAATAAATAAAATAAAACTATTGTTAATAGTAGTGAAATAAATATTAGACTAATTAAAATATGTAAAAAATATGTACAAATAAGGATGTATGCTATCACTAAAAACAATCAACATATTAGAAGTGCTAGCCAATGTACTAGCCAAAAAAAAAATAAAGAGAAGAAAACTAAACGATTGAACAGGCTGACACAACTTTTACGATTTGATTTTGCGTAAGACAAAAAACAAAAAAATCAACTGACAAACTAGTAAAACTAATAAAAGGTTTTACAAGGTGGCCACATATATGATCAATTTTTTAAAAAAATCAAATAGTTTCCATACACCAGCAACAATCAACTGCTGAAAACAAATCCCCTTTATCATGGCAACAAAAACTATAAAGTATCTGAGAATAAACCCAAGAAAAAAATGTGTGAGATTTGTAGGAAAAAAACTAACATTTCCTGAAAGATGGAAGAAAAAGCTTGAATAAATGGAGTGAATGTTCCCAGATGGATAATCAGTATTTTATGATAACTTTCCCCACATGAATCTATTAGTTGCATGCAATTCAGATAAAAATCCAAATGCAACATTCAGAATCAAGAGGCGATTCTAAATTCATTTGGAAGAATGAATATTCAAGAATAGCCAAAAAATTGTGAAAAGAAATAAGAGAATTTGCTCTATCTGATAGCAAGAGGATTATAAAGCTATAAGTCAATCACTTATTTCCAAAGAAATACAATAATAAATTGATAGAATATAACATGTAAATTCAAAAAAACATCTCAAAAACATTTGTACGTGATAAAAGCATTCAAATTAAGAGAAAACGCCCACTAGACTACAGACGGGGCTGGAACAACTGTCCACCCCCTGTGTGGAGGATTGAGATGATGGGAGGGACAAAAAGATTCATCTACATCTCACAACATTAACAATAAATTGCAGATAGATTTTTTAAAGGGCTTAAATGTGTGAATCAACCTATATCAATGACACTGGTATACGAAAGAGTTTCTTATAGTTCAAAAAGACATAAAAAGGGAAAAATTGATAAAGTTGACTACCTGCAAACTGTCAACATCCCCATGAGACATGACACTACAAAGTTAAAAAAATAAACTGTAAAAAATATTTGCCATATAAATATATGTCTAACACATACATACATATAGTCAAATAATATACAGACTATATATGTAAAGCTCATTCAAAAATAGTATCAAGAAAAGGTAGAAAAGAAAGGAGAGCCCAATAGTGAAATGGGCAAGACATATAAGCAGGTCATTTCAGGGGGAAAAACACTGGCCAATAAACAGATGAAATCACCCCAGTTATCATGGAAAATTCAAATTAAAACAAGATACTATTTTCTGCAAATCAGACTGGAAAAAAAAAAAGTCTGATAATACTAAGTTTTTCAAAGGTATAGGAAAATAGCAACTATGCTCTGCTTTCTCTGTGAAACCACAGGTAAGTACGCAAATGCACTGAAAGGATTTTGAAGAATACACACCTAAGTGACAAGGTAGGTAGCTTGGGGAGTTGGTGGATATGGGCTGGCAAAACATTAAGATTGAGAATGAAAGTCGAGAAAATGTGCTCTTTTATTCACTCAGTATCCAAACACAAACATTTGCTGAGTGTTTAATACATGTCAGGCCCTGTAATAAGCACTGGATATAAAGGGCAAGTAAAATGAAGGTCCCTGTTTTCATGAAGCATCCTTTCTAGAGAGGCAGGCTATAAACATGTAAAACAGCAAACAATAAAAATGTTTCCTATTTTACTTTAAAATAATTTCAGAAATTAGTACAAAAATGAAACAGGCCAATTTTATTCTGAAATGTATTGGTTTTTGACACAAAAAAATGTATTCATGTATTACTTGTGAAGTAGAAACATCAATTTTTAAAACTTTATACAATTTTATTTTCTCTATAGAAGTTTTATATTTGGGGAATTTATGCACATAATAATATTTAACCTTCTGTGATGCCCGGATAAAAATTCCTAAAAGGCCAAACCCAGCAATGACTGACCAGAAAATATGAGTTTAATAAAAAGAAATGCAGGCTTTGTATAGAGATATTTGTACACTCCTTGTGGTAGGAAGTAGCGGGTACTGCCTTCAGTCTGGCTCTGTGAGATGGACCTAAAATCTGCAAGGAGCTTCACAGGGGTATGTGAACAAGATCCATGGATCCTGAGAAGAAGGCAGGGAAGAGGAGGGCCTCTGAGGCCACAAACAATCAGGCCCTGACTGGGCAAAGGAGATGTTTGGAAGAGATCCCTCCATTAACAACCTCCACCCCTTCCCTCCCTCCACACACATAAATCGCTGACCCTGAGCACTCCTCCCACATGGGAGGCAAAGCTGTGAGCCTAACACAACTTCTGAACCAAAGAACCTAACAATAAAATAAAAATTCTCAGGCTTCCAGGTCAAAAGGAGATGTCAGTTTGGATATTTCCTAAGTATTTGCATAACACCACACATAAAAATTTCCCCCATATTTTGGAGGGGAAAAAGAAGACCACTGGCTTATACTCTGCAGTTCATTTGGTAAAAATAGATCATCTCAAATATCAGTACTTTGAAAGTTATTTTCTGTTTGATTAAAATATTTTGTACAAGTCTGAAGCACGTTAATTCATTTCTTTTCAGGTTACACATGTAACCTGATTCTTCTTCATCCATTTCCACTTCAGCAGAAATATAAATGTGAATAGTATCCTTCCTGGTTTAGAGCTTTATTTTCATTCTAAAATATGAAGTGTAAAAAAAACAGTTTTGTAAGCCTGCTTAAGGAAGAAGCAGTTTCCAAAATTAAAAAAGTCTCCTTCACTTGTTATTTTATCATTAATGTTTCTTAAAAATATACTCACAAATATATTTTACATATTAATTTGTTTAAAATTCTATTCCATTCAGTTAACCTGTCAAAACTAAATGAATTACTACATAAAATGAGATATTCCAAGATTTTTATTACTTATATAGACAATTACCAATATATTAAAAAAAAGCACATTAAATAAATTCTGCATTTGTCTAAAGCAATGACTCAGCCTCTAAAGAACTATTATTCTTTTAAGACACTCTACATCTGCCCTCTATAAAACACATGTTCAAGGCATGAACATTTGAGTAAAGCGAAACTTCCCTTAAAACAAGTGTGTTTATTTGAACACACAATTTCAGAACCAAATCAACAAGTGTTTTATGGGTTCACGCTCATAAGGGATCCCATGTGTGTTTATTTGAATGTAATCGCATTGAAATAAACACAGCTGCGTTTATTTCAACGTGTGAGAATCCAGATCTACATGTTTGTGCAAGAATGAATCATGAAACCATGGCTTAGTGCATGGAAATGTGAATAGGAAATGGCATAGAGCACAATTACTTTCTTCAAACACATCACGGATTAAATGAAATCCATGGCTAAAAGGTATTTCAAAAAAGGTACAACTCAATGTATCCCCAAATGCAATAAAGAACATCAGTTTGTGCTATCAAGTCTTTTCCTTTACATTTTTGAAAAAGAATTAATGAAAGCACAAAGAATTAAACTGAAAAAGAAATAATGAAAGTGCAAATAGTGATAAATAACAAATATGCATGAACTTACCACCCAAATTTAAGATTTTGTAGCATATACTTCAGACTTTTAAAAATTTCTTTAAATTTAAATGAAATTGAGACCCTCCATTTTTCTCTCTCTAGTCTGATTCTTCTTCATCCATTTCTCCCCAGAAGCAGATATTGTCATATTTTTGAGTAAATAATATATAGCATTTTGAGGGTGTTTCTAAAATATATACGGATGATATAAAGTAAAAATTATTCTGCAATATGCGTATTTTCTATGACCACTGTTGTGATTAATCCATAATAATTCATTCATTTTATCTGCTGCATATTTACTCCATCATGTGAATACACCATAATGTATCTCTTTCCCTACTTGTGGTCAATGATGCTATTTCCAGTTTTCCCTATTACAAAAACATTTTACTATGAATATTCTTATACATAAGTCCTTATGCAGATGTTTTAGAGTTTCACAAGGGCATATAGATCGATATAGAATTGCTATATATTTTTCAACTTTTGCTAGATATTGGCAAATTGCTCCCCTCAGTGATTGACCAATGTGTCCTCACTTGGAATGGATTCTACATAACCAGGACAATCTGTCCTAAGCACAGTGTTTAAAAAATCAGTTTCTCAAATGGCAAATATTCATTTATTCTACATCTTATATAACACCTAACATATGGACCATGCAGACTTTCACATTCTTGCTTGATCCACTTGGGTTTGCTAGCATGCTGGTTCTCAACCAGTGATTTCTGCCCCCAGGAGACATTTATCAATGTCTAGAGATATTTTTGATTGTCACGACTATGAGAGTGGTACTAGCACCTAGTAGTTAAAAGGCCAGGGATGCTGCTAAACATTCTACAATGCACAGGACAGCCTTCCACAACAAAGGACTCTCCAAACTAAAATATCAATAGTACACTTGCAATAGGAAGATCCAGTCTCTCCCTTCTTTTAATTTGGTCTTCCTTCTTAATTAGATTGTTACACTTTTAGACTTCCTCATTGCTCAGAATACCTCCCTCCTAGCTATTCCCGATAACCCAAAACTCACTTTCCCCAATGTTAAATTTTGAAGAATAGACTATCCACCTGTTTGTACTAGCTTAAGCTGGAAACACAAATTTACTTACAATCCTTGGCCAAATATGAATTCCAGAAACTTTTGGCCTAGGAAATCTTTAGAATTTCCTTAGATAATAAGCAGTGATCTCTAATGGAAGTGTTTTCTAACACCACAAACAGCTGGATTCAGAATAAGGAGAATGCTACAACAACTAATACCATTCTATAACCCCATTAATCAGAATATTTACAATATCTCTTTCTGAACTGTGAATTATCTAAACTGAAACAACTGGAAATACAACTAAATCTGACTATCACAGCTTATCAGAAAGAAATCTTATTCTCACTTCCTAGCTGACTTTACTTAGTATCTCAGCTGACATTTTCACTGTTTCTTTTATTTATAAATCTAAGCCACAGTATAGTAAGAGCAAGAAAGACTTTTAAAGTGAAATCATTTAATTACTTTTTTTTTGGAAAAAAACAAGACGGGATAAAAGGTCAAGATACCACCTAGGAGGAACTGAGAAGACACATGTTTGCTTTCACCCATCCCAGAGGTTTGTTATTTTTTTTTTTTCATGTTTCCCATTATTTTCCCTACACTGAATTAGAAAGTAGTAAGGCTTTTAACTTTCTTTCAATTTAATATGCAAAATCTAACTTCGGTATTCATTTGGAGGGCATGTGAGTCGACGAGGAAAAAACTGAACGAGAGGTTAAGAGACCAAGAATTCTAATCCTGGCCCAGTGTGGTAACTCACACCTATAATGCCAGCATTTTGGGAGACCAAGGTGGGTGGATTGCTTGAGCCCAGAAGTTCGAGACCAGCCTGGGAAACATGGCAAAACCTCGTCTCTACAAAAAATACAAACATAAGGCAGGCATGTGTTGTATGGCTGTGGTCCCAGCTACTTGGGAGGCTGAGAGTTGGGAGGATAACTTGAGCCTGGGAGGTCGAGGCTGCAGTGAGCTGAGATCATACCACTTCACTCCAGCCAGGGTGACAGAGCGAGAATCTGTTTAAAGAAAAAACAAAACAGAATTCTAATCCTAATAACACTGACTCCCTCTTACTATTTCCATCCTTGGCAATTTTATTATCAGCCCTTTTAGCTTTCAATGACTGCCTCTACAATGAAGTTCTCTAAATCTACATATCCATCCCTGAGTTTTAGTTCAGCATTTTCCAGTACTTGCTTGACATCTTCACATGGGATGCCTCTTGCCTAACTGCATGCTCCAGTTCTGAACTGCAATTTCTCTACACACTCCTATCACCCTCCACCTCAGAAGCTGTATCTATTATATCTGTAAAAGGACTGGTATCCCCTTAAGCAGCTAGCACCTGCAGTGGCTCCCTCTCCTTCAGTCCCCCAACTTCTGTACTGCTTCTTCTGTAGTATCTTTTCAATCTATTTCTTTTCCAGTTTAATTGCCTCAGCTGAGAGCAGGTCCCAGTTTATCCTACACATTGATTGCTTCCAGACTTGTCTCCCTCCTACTTATCTGATCCAGTTTCTTTTCCTAAAATTTCCCCTATTCATCTGTTGTCACATTAATATTTCTAAAGTATACTCTGATTACGTCATTTCCCAGTTTAAAAATCTTCACTTGTCTGGCATCTAGGGATATCCATTATTTGGCCTCAAACCAATGTTGAACAACTTTTCTCCCAGAACTCTCTTTGATAAGCCAAATCGAAGCCAAACAGAATAACCAACTTTCTTACACACAAACCACATTTGCATGCCACTATGCCTTTTCTCAGGCTATTCCTTCTGCCTAAAAAGCCTCTCACATAAATTTTTACATGAACTACTACTTCAAAGCAAAATCAAATGACATCTCTTCCATGATAATTTCTTTGTTTTCCCCCCGGTCAGAAGCAACTCCTTTCTCTGAATCATCCCTTGTTCAGTTATGCCCCTGCTATTATTGCTACTGTTGTTCTGACTACTGCACATGGTATAGCTAATGGTTAGAAAGATGGACTCCGGTGCTAGGCTGCTTGAATTCAAATCCCACTACTAGCTGTGGAACTTTAAGCTAGTTAAATAACTTCCTGTAACTCAGTGTAATGTCCCATCTAGACCCCCTTTACCTAATTGGCATACCCACTGCCCAGATGCTGTGATTGTTGGATGCTATCAGCTCACAGCTGCTTGAGAGCCAACTTGCCCAAAGAATCTGGGAAATTATGCTCCTCTCTCACTGTCTGTCAACTAGGACAGCCCCTGACAGCCCATACCTGATTAATATGGAGTATGAAGATAGCCCCCTGTTTTTTGTTGTTTTTGAGACAGAGTCTCGCTCTGTCCCCCAGGCTGAAGTATGGTGGTGTGATCTTGGCTCACTGCAACCTCCACCTCCCAGGCACAAGCGATTCTCCTGCCTCAACCTCCCATGTAGCTGAGATTACAGATGCAAGCCACCACAACCGGCTAATTATTGTATTTCTTAGTAGAAACGGGGTTTCTCCACATTGGCCAGGTTGGTCTCGAACTCCTGACCTCAGGTGATCCGCCTGCCTTGGCCTCCCAAAGTGGGGATTACAGGCATGAGCCACTGCGCCCGGCCAAGATAGCCCCCTTTCTTAGTGACAACTCTAAGGTGCCATTCACACTCCAAAGCTCCCTGAAGTATCCTGCTGAAGCTCGATTTTAGCAGAACCCACATCTTTGCCTGGCTTCTTCCTCTAACCCAGTAGATCTCAAATTTTAGCACCATTAGAAGCACCTGGAAGACTTATTAAACCACAGACTGCTGCCAAGCCCCGCTGAGTTTCTGATTCAGGATTCTGGAGACCTGGGTATAGGTATTTCTACCAGGTGATGCTGACCCAGCTAGTCCAGGGGCCACTGCCCTCCTCATCCTGCTTTCCCCCCTTGCTAATATTACTAAACATTCCTTGACCATAGGAGTCTATCTATCCCTTAGCCAACTTTGTGTCTCCTTTATTACCTAACACTAACAACTGAAATCAATCTACTGAGCTTAAGGTATGCACTGTACTACATACAATAACTAAAACTTGGTCCCTACTGAAATAGAGCTTTAATATCTACTCCCTGAAAGATTCTGGAGGAAAAGAAGGTACAAACACTAAGAGCTGCTGCAGGCAATGTTCAAGAAATAATTCAAGAAATAGGAATGAAAGCCGGGAATAGGTCATCAGTGGAGTTCCTGGAGGGTAAGTACTGGAAAGTATCAAATGTTCACATGTATATGAGTAAGACCTTACTATAAAATAGATTACCAGCAAAAACAATGAATGTGACTGACTCTTTAATTTCCTGATCATAGATCTAGGGTTTGATTTGATAAACTGTTTGCAATTAGAGAAACAGGAATTTTTGGTGTTTCAGTGAATAATGGTCATTAGCCAATTTCTCTAACTAATGTTAGGCTTTAGCTAACGAAAGTCCATTATGATGTCTAATCATTTTGCACAGCTATCTTGGTGATGAAGGCCACACTTCTCAAAATGGAATAATCATGCCATTGTCCACTGCCATCATCCCTGAAGAATACAGAGTGGTATATCAAGTAGAAGCCACAAAATGAAAAAGAGAAAATATTCCTAAGACATCCATTTTCTTGATGGAAAATAATTTCAAATGCTACTTCTATGTTAAAACATGTAGTATATTCTCAATAGGTATGTGAATTACACCAGTGTACGCTTTTGTTAATACTCAAACTGTATACAGAACTTAAGACCTATGCATTTCACTGTATGTCAATTTTACCTCAATTTTTTAAAAAATCAAAAATCAAAAGAAGGTATACCTTATGGAATACAATATAATATTCACATGGACTTTTAAGATAAAGCATTCTAGAAACTTCAACAAACCTGAGCTCTGGCAACAAAATTTGGGCTATGACCCCTGACTTCATAAGAATATAATAGTTTACTTCCCTCTGCCACTCAGGTACTTTAGTAGAAAAATGCATGAAGTAGAATACTAAGAAACCCAAAGATCCCTCTGATTCTAGCTTCCGGGTTAATTTAAGAGGTAGCTCCAGAATCTATCCAAAAATGCTCGGTTCCTGAAAGTTTCCCAACATCTTCTTTGGTAATTTTATGTAAATTGAGCCTTTTCTGGAAATTTATAATGGGTAACCTGCTAGGATTACTACTTAAGGTAGTCTGTGCCTTAACACGCATTTCCTAAAGCAATCTCTTCATAAAAAATAAATACCAGAAAATCGGCACAACCACAGTGACCCCAGCCTCATTGGTTCTGTTAATCAAAGGAATAACTGCAGAAAGGTACCAGGTACTTATAAAGCTGTATAACACCCAGCATTTACATGTAATACTTCCCTGCAGGGAGAAGGGCTCTGAAAGTTTGCTTGGCAAAATGGTTCTGACTCAAGGCCAGCATCTAAACAGCATCTAATTCAAAAAAAATTAAATAAACAAAATACACACATACCAAAATTATGAATCTAATATGAACCATTTTTATATATACTAATAAATAGATAAACCTGTTCAATAAACATCTATTGAATCACAGTGTTAAATAGGCAGTGGAGTCTATTAACCAGTAATTTTCTAAAATGAAAGGCAAAGTCCTAGTGTCTTGGAAGAACCTGACAGGACAGCAGCAAAGAGTGATATAATATCAGAGCCCGTGAACCAAAAGAGTTGAGCAGATCCCTGAGCCACGGCCAGTACTTGATCTGACAGTGGACAGAAGGACTTGGTGTGGAAGAACATGGCTTTCTCAACCCTGACATCAACCTCACAAGATCAGGGATAAACTTCAAAGCCTCCTACTTGCCATAATGCCCCATTATGTTTCTATCACAAACAAATTTATTTAAATTATATTTTTGCAGAAATATGTATTTTCTATTATCTTTTCTGAGGACAACAGTTTATAACAGTTCTGCCCTAATGTTTAAGACAGCCATGAATCCCAAGGGGAGGACTATTCATACAGAAATTTTTAGGACTCTAAGAAATTACTACTTGTTCAGATTCACCAGAATTTGAGTGATTAATCCTTTGATGCTTCATCCATGATTTCACAGGATGAAACCAGAGACGCTTTCAGCATTCAAGAAGAGAATCTTCTTCAGTGGCAGCTTTCCATCCCAGCAGTGTTACAGATGCCTTTCCTTGGGGCTTCTTTAACTCACATCTTTCTAACCGAGGGATACATAATTGTATTTTCAGAACATGAACACCACATTCTTAAACATGAGTGGGATAGTAGTTTTGGTTCCGGTTCTGCTTTTTGATGAGTAACTTTTTTGTTTGATCTTCATGATCATAACAGTGATGTGATCACAGCAGTCAATGTCTTCTTGAAAAGTTAACAAGCACTCTCCAAGCTTTTTCTGGGTCTTAATGACCCAATTGGTGAATTACTTAGCCCTTTGCATATTACCTTCCCTTTGCTAAAATGCCCTTGGAAATCTATAAATTCCTTTGTGAGCTAGGTATATAGAAAATCTTAAATCAAGGAACCAACACAAGAAACGTATTCCAACTGTTCTATATTGTTTAGCCAAATAATCCTGTTCTCACCCCATCTACTCAAAAGTACATGCAAATAGAGAGAAGATAGGAGGTGGGAAACTGAGCAACTACACCTCAAATAGGAGCTTTGGTTTAGCAGAAACAAATATCAATACTATGAAAATAAAGTAGAAACATATGTATTTTGTTGTTGTTGTTGTTGTTGTTGTTGTTGTTTTGAGACGGAGTTTCGCTCTTGTTGCCCAGGCTGGAGTGCAATGCCACGATCTCGGCTCATTGCAACCTCCGCCTCCCAGGTTCAAGCGATTCTCCTGCCTCAGCCTCCCGAGTAGCTGGAATTACAGGCATGCGTCACCATGCCCGGCTAATTTTGTATTTTTAGTAGAGATGGGGTTTCTCCATGTTGGTCAGGCTGGTCTTGAACTCCCGACCTCAAGTGATCTGCCCGCCTCAGCCTCCCATAGTGCTGGGATTACAGGCATGAGCCACCACGCCCAGCTACTTTATCAATCTTTTAAAATGTCATTGGACTCAGGACACAATTAAGAATTCTCCTTTTCTTTTGAGACAGGGTCTCACCCTGTTGCCCAGGCTGGAGTGCAATTGCATGATCTTTCTAGAAATCTAGAAAATAAGTACTCACGAATCAAAGAGCTACAGAAACTAGACAGAATAAATTAAAGAATAAAAAATGCATAAGTTAAACTCCGCAAGTAACCATACCTTTTGGTTACTTTGTATATTAAAATTTGTATATTACCTTCTCTTTGCCAAAATGCCCTTGGAAATCCACAAATTCCTTTGTGAGCTAGATACATATAAAATCTTAAACCAAGGAATCAACACAAGAAAAGTATTCCAACTGTTCTATATTGTGTTTCAAAAGTAAGTGAAATGACATCAGTCTATTTACAATTTCTTGGATACCAGGTCACTAAAAACAGACCATTCTACACATAGAAAATGTGAGTGAAAAAAGACCAATTTATTTTCCACAAGTAACAGCCAAAAGGGGTTTTTAAATTAAGAATGACTAATTCTCTAAATCCGTAATCAATAATCCCTCACCACTGTCTGTTTTATTCCTTCATGTTCAGCTTCTGTTCTCCAGTAAAGGAACAGCCTTCCCCATACCCGGCACTCCTGGGTTTAGATCCCAAATCCCTTTACCTTCTCTACACGCGTATTCAATTTCCTATCAACATTTGATGCATATCATAATCAACTTCAGGAATTGTGAAAAACATACATTCTTGGATCCCACTCTCAGTTTCTTATTTGTTCAGGAATAGACAAATAGGGTAATTAACTGCTTATCTGGAGAATCCAGAAGAAAAAAAAACACATAACAAACCTAAAATACTACCATCTTCCTGAAAGAACATAGTCCACCATTGTTAGAAATCTAGAAAATAAGTACTCAGGAATTAAAGATCTAATAACACTAGATAGAATAAATTAAAGAATTAATAAAATATGCATAAGTTGAACTGGGTAAGTAACCATACCTTTTGTGTAAAATTAATACTGTTTCAAAAAACAAGTGAGATAGTAATCAGAAATCACAGCTAGACCTCAAGTTCTCAGTGACTTCTTCATCTACCCTTCCTCTTTAGTGAATGATACAGTATCTTTCAGTTGTTGACTTGGATTCTCCTGCCAGCTACGGTTTTCTTGTCCTTAACTCAGTTTCTAAAATCTACCTCTCCTATTAGGCCCCAGGTCCCTCCTCCCACAAACTGCCCTCATAGACACAGTTCTCATACATCCAATCTGTCCTTTAGCCCATACGTTAAAAAGCCAGGACTTAGATTTTAGCAATAATTACTTGGGAGCACGGGAGAAAGTAGCAATATGGTAACTGACTTAGCCTCTAGAGTTAGAATGACCAGAACTCAAATCCTGAAGCATAGAAATAGCTACATGGATAGATATTTAACCACCTGGAGTCTTAGGTTCTTCATAGATAAAATGGTAAACAATAATGTCTATCTCTTAGTCTTATTTGTAAAGATTAAATAAGATGGTTTAAAATATCTATCACATTGTCTGATACATAATGTTCCATAATCAGTAGTAATTATTATTGTGAATACAGAGGATTTTATGAAAACAGTATAATGCAATGAGAATGTTCAACACTCATTTTAATGGGATGCCTAAATACCAAATAAGCCAAATTTTTCACTACTGACCAAACCATTCAAACTCAGCAAATTTAGCAGATCCTTAGCACCCTGAGATCACTGTTAACACCAAAATAAAATTTTTGAAATCAACATTTTTCTTTATGAAGTCAAAAGACGTATAGCATTTAAAGGGTGGGTAAAATTAGGTCTTCACTACCTCAGCAAAAATGACTAAAAATGGCTTTGATCTATAAATCCCTATATATTTGGAAATGCAATGTCCTTAGAGATTGCGTATCTCCTTGCCTCTCAACATGGATGTTGAGACTAGCTGAAATATATCTGTGCTTCAGACCTGAAAAAGGAAATTATGAAGAAACCATATTAGAATTTGTCATGTTACTTCAAAAGAAATAACCTTTAGTTGGGGCAGGAAAAATGGGGATGAATCCAATTGTGATTAATTTTTAAGCACTTTTACTGATTTTTAAAATACAATTTTACTTTCAACAATGATTTAGAGAAGTCACTTGATTTCACACTTTTCTATCTGTAACAATGGAATAAATCCTATATGTCCCAAGTCCCTAATGTCTATTTTCCCTACCATAGCGAAAGCTCGTGGGGGTACCTATTTTTATTTACTTCATATTCCCAGGCCTTAATACCATGCCTAGGTTTCTGTGGTTATCCATTTAAGAGTTTACCTTTGAATACATTAAGAATTGTTTCAGTTGCTTCTCTAACATGAGCAGAGGATCAGACCAAGTCCAAGAGCAATCCCTTTTTTTTTTTTTTTTTTTTTTTTTTAATGAAACAGGGTTTCTTCTGTTGCCCAGGCTGGAGTGCAGTGTGGCATGATCATGGCTCACTGCAGCCTTGACCTCCTGGGCTCAAGTGATTCTCCTACCTCAGCCTCCCAGGTAGCTGGGAGTACAGGTGTGGGCCACCATGCCTGGCTAACTTTTTGTATTTTTTAGTATAGACAAGGTTTTGACATGTTGTCCAGGTTGGTCTTGAACTCCTGGGCTCAAGAGATCCGCCTGCCGCAGCCTCCCAAAGTGCTGGGAATACAGGGGTGAACCAGTGCGCCCAGCCCCAGGAGCAATCCTTTAACGCTGTACTAAACTCTCACAGCTGAAACAAACCCAGCAATTATTTATTGGGGAATCTTCCATGTGCCATGTACCCTGTTCAGAAAAGCTCAATGTTCTGCAACTAAAGTAAACATAGGGCTTTCTTCAGCCTCTTACATGAAAAAGGATAATAGTCTGGAACTTGTGAAGAATACAAATAATCTGAATTTTAAAATATTTCAATTTGTCAATGTTTATGAGCAGCTCTTCCCCATGTGGCCCTAACAGGGCACAGAGTCACAGGGAATTACTCCCAGAAGGATGTTCCTGATCATTCCAGGGCAGGCTCTTATTTATAAATGAGAAAACTAAGGCCTGTTGAAATAAAGTGTCTGGCACAGGATACTCACATCAGTGTAAAAACCAGGGTTGAGATCTGGTTTAACAATTTTCAGGACTATATTCCCTTACACACAAATCTATTAATGAGGTCGGTGATGCCAGAAAGAAAGGATCATGCATATTACATTTTTATATTGCCTCTTCTTACAGTCTTATACATTTATGCTAGATGTGAAAGCAAAAGCTGATACGGTTTTTCCGAAGAATGCTTCCCCCAACAAAAATGCATTGTATTAACAAAACTTAAACAGCATCACTATTGTAAATGTTTCTTTAAAAGAAGAAAAAGATGGGTGAAATGCTTTCGTGGAAACCACTTCATAACACTGATGATCATAAAGAATTTTCACATAAAAATCAACAAAGTGTTGTCACTGGGCTCATTAGTAATCGAAGATGCAGCATCAAATAATTAACTAACACGTGGCTACTTCTGTATTTCCTCTCTCCTTTCCTGGTATGTGTGTGTTTGTATGTGAGTATGTATAACACAGAATATACAAAGGGTCCAAAAGAACTATAAAAATATATTTACAGTGTATAAATATTGAACTGTGCTGTAAATTACCTGTTGATATAATAACTTTATTTAACATTTTTTTTGCCTTCATAATGTTTTATAAGAGCTCCTAGGAGAATGACTTAGATAGCGCTAAACTCTCCAAAAAAGTTGTTCCAGGAAATTTGATTTGAGGTTTTCATTTTCTCAAAAAGAGTTCCTATAGCAAAAGGAGGCATTCAAAATCATTCCACTGAGCTACAGTTGAAGTACTTACTTTAGTGTGCTGTCAATTCCGCCTCTAAAATATCACTTACCTCTATCCAGGTCTCTATAGTCCCTATGGCCACCCTAGATGAGTAATTACTTCCAGCTCTGATGCTGTAATAGTCTCCTCATCTGAGGCTCCTGCCACCCATACCCTGCTCCAATGTCACCAGTGTTGGCTACCAAGCCTGCTTTAGATCCTACATGGTTGGCCTGGCAACTATGACCTCCCCAGGATCTGACCCTGATCTTACTTAGAAGATACATTTCCCTTGTAGTTACTCTTTCTTCAGCTGAACTGAATCACTGCTGGAGCCCCTAAACTCTGTTGTACTTCCCAATCTCTGGCATGCCATTGCTTGCGGTTTACCCCTCACCAAAACTGTCCTTTCCCCTCATTTATTCATCTAAAAAAATTATTTCCAACCTATGCTGTACCACCTGCTAAAAATACAAAGCCAAATAAGGTGATCTCCCCACGCTCAGGGGGATGTGCCCAAATCCCATTCAACTCCAAGGCCCATTTCAAGTTTCCATGAGGACTTCCCCAACAATAGCGTCAAAAGTTACCGATCCCTCATCTGACCATATTGTCTGTACCTCTCCAGAGTGACTAATCACTTTATCCAAGAGTCAACAGTTGACTCTTGGTATTGAGCATCTACTATGCCCAGGTATGTGCTAGATTATTCCCCTTGTGTTATCTCATTAAGGTCTCATAGGAAAGTTGTTTCTGTACTTCTTCCTCTCTCTTCCTGTTGTATACACTCCTTGTGAGCATGTATCTTACCTATCCTTATCTACTTTGTAACATTCACAGTGCCTAGAATACAGGAGATGCTCAATAAATACATGCTGAAAAAATTAATATCTATAAATGAATGTATAAATGAATGAATAAGGAGGAAAAGAAAGTATTTATTCCCATAAGAATTTTTGAAAAATTAATATTAGCTCTTCTCCCTTGTCCTGGCTCCTTGAGAGTTATTTTAAAATTTAAATGCACCTTTCCTTCCATTCAGTATTAAAAAAAAAAAAAAAAAAGGTAAGAACAAGCACGCTTACTTAAGACACTTTTTCTCAGTCCAAAACACCCACTTAATAGCTCACCTGACTGCTATTAGGAATTTCAAGGAAAAGTCTTAAGAGAAGTATCAATCAGCACTTCAGCTGCAAGGAATGCACATGGCTTGCCCCTAATTCTGCCAACTATGGAGAAAGCCATCCAGAGTACCAGGCATCCTCTTCCAAGCATAATAGTAGATTCCCAAAAGTCTGCCACCAGGTACAAACTTCTGTACAACTTTTCATGCTGAACAGGAATGTCTCCAAGTCTGCCAGAGCTACTCTAAAAATGGTGCAGAAAAAGACGTGCATGTCTTGGAAGAGGACGGACATCCCTAAGGTCAGCACACTGTTCGCTATCTTTGCACACACCTATCCTGGACTTGCATAATTCCTGAGAGTATGATCCCTATCTCATCACAAACCACACTCTAGAGCAACCTCCCCTCTCTCTCCTTCCCTTGCTTTATTTTTCCTATAACATATAGCCATCTAATATGCACCATACAGCTTACTTATTTTATTTATTTTCTGTTTTCCCCCACTAGAAAGTATACTTCATAAAGGCAGTATTTTTAATGGTCTTATTACTATAGTCCCAGGAACTAGAATGGAGCCTACCCCATTTATTGAGTAAAAGCTTGATAAATGTTTGTTGAATAAATACAATTATTTTACTATTTATTTTTCATATTCTATTTTTAAAACTTTTTGATTCAGGGAATACAAGTGTAGGGTTGTTACATGGGTATATTGCATGATGCTGAGGTTTGAGATACGGATGGTCCTGTCACCCAGGTGGTGAGCATACCCAATGGTTAGTTTTTCAGCCCATGCTCCCCTCCTTCCCTTCCCCATCTAATAGTCCCCAGGGTTTGTTGTTCCCATCTTTATGTCTATGGTGTATTCAATGTTTAGCTCCCACTTATAACTGAGAGAATGTGGTATTTGGTTTTCTGTTCTTACGTTAATTTGCTTAGGATGATGGTCTCCAGTTGCATCAATGTTGCTGCAAAGGACATGATTTTGTTCCTTTTTTATGGCTGCATAGTATTCCACAGTGAATATGTACTACATTTGCTGTATCCAATCCACTGTTGATGGGCACCTAGGTTGATTCCACGTCTTTGCTATGGTAAACAGCACTGGAATGAACATAACAGCCCATGTGTCTTTTTGACAAAACAAATTACTTTTCTTTGTGTGTATACCCAGTAGTAGACTGCTGGGTCAAATGGTAGTCCTATTTTAAGTTCTTTGAGAAATCTCCTAACTGCTTTCCACAGTGGAACTATTTAAATAATATTCTGCTTTGTCTTTAAATGTATACTACTAACCATTATTAAGATCTCTCCCAAAACATCTCCCAAACATCTCCCAAAACATCTCCCAAAAACATCTCTCCCAGATGTTTTCTGCATCTGTTTTTCTCATTCATAAATTATCAGACCACATAGTATGCTTATAAATAGACAAATGGAACACACACATAAACACAGATACGCTAAACACGTCTAACGAAAAAGGCAAAAGTGTTTTTAGCAAGAGTATAAATTTATGACTAGTAAGTAGCTTTATATAGGTAGTATCTTTTTAATTTTCAAAATGACTTCAAAAGGTAACTATTATTTTCCTCGTTTATGGATGAGGAAACTAGAATCCAAGAGGTTAAGTGCCTTGTTCATACTGACACAGTTAAGAAGTGGTACAAATGACATTCAAACAGGAGTTGTCTGACACACAATCATACGTCCAAACCTCGATGCCTCCCAGGTAAGTATTTAAAACACCAACTTAATTAGGCTCTGAGAGTGTGGCTGAGCCCAGAATTGCATTTTATATCATGAGAAAGAAGCCATAAAAATGACAAAGACAAGCAACCATTCCAGGAATCAGCAATTAGAATCTAGGTGTCAGAGTCCCTAGATATGTGATGAAAGTAGAAAAGGAGTTGGCTTTGGCCCTCCTGTGTGATTCCACCTAAGTTACTCAACCTCTCAAAGTCTCAGTCTCAAAATTTGTCAAATAACAGAGAAATGAAGAATAAGATCAATAGAAGGGAAAGAAGAAGGGGAGGGGAAGGAAGGAGAGCAGAGTGAGGTGGGGGAGTGGAGGAAACAAGAAATTGGGGGTTGGATAAATTACATCTACCAGTAATATTTGTTATGATCTTCAAAGTGAGATATCTGAAAGTACACAGAAGAGTGCCGGGTACACCACAGGCAGTAAGTACATATTATATTTAATATCATATTTTATTCATTTATTGAAGGGTAGAACAAATATAAAACGAAAAGAAAACCAACTGGGATAGGTTTCATGGGAATCTGTGAGAGATCTGATCAGATCTTAAAGTCGTATGTCAAAAAAGCTTGCAAAATTCAAAATTCAGCCTTACATTTCATTCATTCATGAATGCTCATTTACTTAGTAGGTATTGAACTAGGTACTGTGAAGTCATGGAGGGCACAATCATCACTTACACAAATAAGATGAAGTTCAATGATTTCATTGACTGAGCAGATACTTACTGAATGGTCACCAATACCATTAGCTTATTAAAGATACTGTTTTAGAGCCATTATCAGTTCTTTCAAATTTTTCTTTCAGTTCTGCAGTATAATTACAATTTATGCCATCATCCCGACTACAGCTGAGATTCAAAGCTATAAATATTCACAAACAAAAAAAATTGAGGATGTTTGAGCTTTATTTCATGTTGTCTAGGGAAATACTTCTCTTATACTACCTCATTATAAAACAACTTGTTTAGATAACTGTTACTTGAATAGCTCTTATACATTTGTAAAGCAAGGAAATAAGCATTGATTAATCTTTCAAACTATCTTGAACATTATAAAGTTTACCTAAAATATTCATGCCCACAAGTCAGAATAAATAAACTAACAGAACAGTTATGTTAATATACTATAACAGAAACTGGTTGAGTAAGAAGTTACTCAGCAAATCAATATAATTGCTTCTCCTTCTGAAAATACAGCAGTAGTAGAGAGGATAAAGGAACCATATATTACTTTCAGATACAGTAACTATATTACATTTATAAAGAAATAAGATAGTTTTTCAGGTCCCAAATCATGATCAAATATCTAATTCACACACTTTAAATCAAAAAGGCATTTAACAGAAATTTTCTTCTTGGATTAACATGGATTTTTATAACAGTAAAATGTAACTTTTTAAATTATTTAACTCAGAAGTCCCAACCCTTTCAATAAACAACAAAGAAAGTAATAAAAATTCACGACAGGCTACATGTTTCTGATACAAGTTTCTTACAGAAATTATCTGTCTCATGTAAGATAAGATGATGTAGCCCTAAAAAGATTTGTCACTAAAAGCACATAATAACAACTGATTTAATCATATGGTTCTGTGTATCATGGAATCTAAAAAATCTGGGTTTTATGTCACAAAAAGTAAGTAAATAACTAGTGTTCTGACAATGGGCTATAAAAACTATGGTCCTTAAGTTGCCCAAACTAAAATTTCCTAGATTTATGACAGTAGTAAAGGTAAAACAAAATTGCAAATAATTTATAGGCAGGAATGACTAGAGAAGACGTAACATCTTGGCACAGTCTTAGGAGTTAAGGAATGAAAATATGGATGGTCAGTAGCTCCCAGGTCTTAGATCTTCAGAAGGCACAGAAGAGTGTGCTGATTCAAACAAACTAACGTTATCTAATGAGTCCGAGCTAGGAAGCTGCATGAAAGCTTGGGACAGGTTGTGTATTACAGTGCAGTCAAACTGTTCAGTAGCCAGTGGGTTAAGCATGACCTTGAGGTTTCATGTGTAATACTCCTGCTAGAAACAATTAGCACCTTTGAGCTACGATAAACAAGCACTCTACTTTTTACAAACCAGCAACATTTTAGTGCCCTTTCTACCAAACTGTGAGGAGGATTAGTAAGAGAGCACCATTTCAAAAATCTTTGTTTGAAACCCTGTGTTTTACAACCATGTCACTGAGCCAAATGAAAGCCCCAGCATGACTGTGGTTTTATCCACTTAATGCATCATCACTACCTACTGAGCAAGACCCAAACTGGACCAGGGGAGCACCACAAACTACCCAAGACACAGACAGGGTAATGGATTTCCTACTGAATATCCCACCAATTGCCATTCCCTAAAGAGGAGCAAGAAAGGTCATTATTGCTCTTGTTAAGAAAATAACTCCATGGATAGCACAAAGATAAAGAAGGCATTACCATTTTTCCAAACATAAGGAATTAACCCTGTACAGTCTTCAGTGGCCCAAACCACCACCCTAGCAGTCATACAAGCACATTCTGAAAACTTCGGTTTCCAGCAAAACATAAGGTACTGATCTGCTATCACTACTCTCCTACAAAAATTAAAAGCTTTTATTTCCATTTAGCTACCACTTAAGATTTATAAAAGCTTCATTTTTTCTTTCATTCTCTTAACTTGAGTCCTCACAGAGCCCACTTTCCTCATCACAGATTGCCAATTTTTGGTACGTTAAAAATCCCATCAAGTTGCACTTATATTATGTGACAATTAGCTTTTAATGATGGATAAAGGGGATAGATGCTTAAAGTCATTTTGCATTCTATTACTGTACCCATCTAATAAAGAAAAGCTTTTTAATAAAGGTCAGAAAATTTTCTTCTTTAATCAAACTCTAAAAGACACACTAACTTGGAAAATACATTAAATTGGTTGGGCCAAGAGATATGTAACAGAATGTAAAGACTTTTGTCAATAAACCGCAGAGGTAAAGAAACGTCTCTATAATGTATTCTCTTAATTTCTATTACTTTTTAAAAAATTTTTTTTTTTTTGAGACGGAGTCTCGCTCTGTTGCCCAGGCTCGAGTACAATGGCGGATCTCGGCTCATTGCAAGCTCCACCTCCCGGGTTCATGCCATTCTCCTGCCTCAGCCTCCTGAGTAGCTGGGACTACAGGTGCCCGCCACCATGTCCGGCTACTTTTTTTCTTTTTTTTTTTTTTTTTTAGTAGAGACAGGGTTTCACTGTGTTAGCCAGGATGGTCTCCATCTCCTGACCTCGTGATCCGCCCGCCTTGGCCGCCCAAAGTGCTGGGACTACAGACGTGAGCCACCATGCCCAGTCAAATTTTTTATTTCTTATAGAGATGGGGTTTCGCTATGTTGGCCAGGCTGGTCTTGAACTCCTGGCCTCAAGTGATCTGCCCGCCTTGGCCTTCCCAAAGTGCTGGGATTATAGGTGTGAGCCACTGTGCCAGGCTTCTATTATATTTATAACTTTTAAAGTAACGATTTTACAAATAACTAGCATTTTACATTCAATAAATATATAATATGTACAGGTTTCCAGATGTGATGTTTTAACATCTCATGTCTAAAGACATGATTTCCTAGGATATAACTGCCTGCAGGGTCTCTGTATACATCTGTGGAAGTCATGCTATGTTCTAGAACCCTAAGAGATGCCATTCACATCAGCAAGCACAGATCTGTATCTCTGTGACGACATTTCAAAATGCAGTAAAGTGTTGTGTTCTAACAAAATCAATCTATTATGACAATTTTCCAACACTTAGAAATAAAGTATCACAAAAAGAGGTAACTTTTTTCTCATTTACACAAAGGAGCAGAATAGAGTCGCAGCTGCCCAGATTACCTGGCTAGTATTTTCTGGAAGTTCAGGGCTGAATGATGGTCATTTCCCAGGTGAACTCCCAGGAGCAGAACTCTGATAAGGCATATGAAGTTTCCTCCCTGAACTGCAGGACAAAAGATATTTTCTCCCAAATAAAACTTACAAATATACTAACCTTAAAAATATTATTTGGAATTTTAACTTACTAATGTTTAGCCTGCATACATGTAAATGGATTCAGTCCGAGTGACAAGGTATGTGGTCGCAATATTTCACTACAGTAGTTTCTTAATACAGCCACCATGAGGCGTCGCAGTACACAAATCAGTTAAATGACCCTTTCACAACTAAATCTGTTATGGCTTTACAAACTTCTTTTCTCCTCATCAACAGCTATGAGCAATTTATGCTTTCATGGACAGAACAAAATCTAACAGCTTTGAAATGGCTTTTAAAGACTCTTTTGCTTAAGATTAGGATGAGCTGTTGTGAAGCTGGAATGGTTTTTCCTAAAATCAGACTGTAATAAACTTAGGGCATTTGATAAACTGGTATGCCATTTAACAATGTGTTATTGTTTTGCAAATTCTTGCTCTGTTTTCACAGGACACAGGGAACTAAACTGAAGCCACGTACAGTTTATTATCCGTTAACTACTAAAATCATGTTGTGCCACTAAATAAAGTAGAACTAGTAACATAACTTCAAAGTTGACATGCATAATGTATTACCTATAGTTTCATTCTAACAATACATAACATTTTGGTTTAATTTTTTAACCATTTATAAACAATAAAAACAAATTGTTCACCTATTCCTGCTGTAAAGATGGTGTCGTGAATTGGCTAAAAATGTGTTTTACATCATTTTGGAGCTAAACAGATTTCTACAGCAAAACACCAAACCAGAAGTCTTATATCTCAGTTCCACCTCTGCCACTCAAATGGCCTGGGTCCTAGTTTCTTAATCTAGGCCTTCCTTTCTTCAAATTTATAATGATAGATTATAATGCTCCAAGATCATCTGTAGAATCCCTTTTAAAGCTAAAATATAATTCTCTTTGGATTTAAGTTATCTGAATCCAAACCTATTTTCTTTTTTATATTGTGACATGATGTTCATTTTTTTAATCACAGATATTTCATCTCAATATAACACTAACTTTTTTTAACTTTAGAAGTTTACCATATGTTTAGAATGAGTCAAGAAATAAGCTACTGAGGAGCAACTGTGTGTATGACAACAGGCTTAACAATGCAGAAACACAAATAGAGAAAAAGCTCTTTTACCCTGGGCTGGAAAGCCATGCCTTATTGCCATAGGCATAAGAAATTCAGTGGGAGCCTAGACTGGTCCATGCATTGTGGAGTGGTATGAATGCCACGTGGGAAGCCTAGGAGGCACGATAGGGGAGTGAGTGATTATAAATATGGCCTCCAGTAGACAGAATGAACTGGGATGGAATGCCAGCAACACCATTTACCAGAAGAATGACCTTGGGCAAGTTGCTGAGCCTCTGAAACTCAGTACCTCATTCAAAGTGGAGATAATAGTTCCTACTTCACAGGTTGTTGCATGGTATAAAAGAGGGTGGAAACACTAAATTCATGGTTTACATCACTGCTTAAAAACAGGGTGAAGAGGAACTCTGCTGAACTGTCTTTAGGACTTTTGTTTTCATATTCCACTTTACATGAAAAGCCAAACTAAAGAAAGTTCATAGTTTCTAACCACTTCCATCTCTATATGCTCTCTTCAATAAACATATGCTGTTCTTTCAAATTACAATTCTTCAACAAACCTCTTCTGTAGCCATTAATATTACACTATGTTCCAAAGTTAGTATACTCAAATACAAATTATGAAAACTGAGTTGAAGTAATGACAATCTATAGAAATAAACATTCTAAAATAAACCGCTTTTGTGTCAAATCTTAAATCTTTTAAATAAATAGAAGTTCTGGAGTTCTAATGTAATCAATCTTCTATCATTCTCCCACAGTATAATAATGACTAGACCTTTTTACTCTTGGGGAACTTAAAGATAAAGTCCTAACAAATAAAACCTTTCTATTATATAAAATATTAATTGAATAATTGATCCTGAAATAACTTGTAGATAGAAATATCTTCTCTTTCATAGTTGGCAGAGGTTCTCTTACTGGCTTCTGGAACCTCCTTTACTACGGAGTGCCAAACTAAAAAGCATTTTAAGTTTAAAAAGAAAAACTATCCAGTCGTGGTGACAAACACCTGTAGCCCAACTGCTTGGGAGGCTGAGGCAGAAGGATCACTTGAGCCCAGGAGTTTGAGGCTGTGGTGAGCTATAATCACACCGATGCACTCTAGCCTGGGTAACAGAGCCAGACTCCATCTCTTAAAAAAAAAAAAAATTATAGAATTTGCTTATACTTCTTTAAAAACATCAGTTAATATCAAGTTACAATATGAACATGTTACAGAAATAGGAGTAGCTCAGGTATCTGAATATCAAATCATATTCTCTAATTAATTTTCATTGTAACTTCAGAAATATGTCTCATGGGGGGGGGATTAACATAATCTAAATATAATCCAAATCTCACTTACAAATCCCAACATACACCTAAAAGTTCATTGTTTGTCAGTATGTGGTCACTATACATTTAATTTGCCATCACAAGTTGTGAAAAAAGTTAAGTCAAATGGACAGTCTTTCTACATAATTTTAGTACACTTATTTAAATGCACAAATAAATTTAAGTACACCCAAAATTTAAGGCCCTACATGGGCCTTAACTGATATTTTGTAGCTCACAGGGCATGAACAAAATTAGCACCGGATTTTCTTCACCACTGCTACTCCAAATATTTATAATAACTTATCAGGTTGAAATTAAGTACAAGAAAAAAAAATTTTAGCTCAAAAAGATAAATTTTGCACTGCTCTCTAGACAAATGGCCAGAATATATGAGTGCTGGTCGCAGGGGAGCCACTGCAAACTCAATATCCTAGGTCAAGACACTTAACAACTTTGAGCCTGTTCCTTCATCTGTAAAATGGGAATAAGGACACCTACCTAAGAGCATGGTTATACAGAGCAAACAAAGCAACGTCAGTGAAATCACAATGTAAAGTCTAAGTTGCAATAACAAGTATAAGAGAGCCAACGAGGCATGCTTTCATGTGGCCAGCCACTAAAGGAGAAAGATGCTTCTCAGGGAGGAAATGTTTGTTCTCCCCAACTCTGATGATGCTCAAGTATATGCATGACAGATTTATTTTATGACCATAAAATAAGAATTTTTAACCATCATTTTAAAAAGGAAGTCTCAGTAAAAAAAAATTCCAAAAAGAGGAGTGAATACATAAACTACCTTGTTTTATGTATTTATAAATAAATTCAGTACTAATTGTAATAGTATAGGTTGGGGTGATCCAGGACATATCCCAACTTTAGTGATGAGGGAAGAAGGAACAGGATAGCAGCATATATGAAATAATTCAATCATAAACTCCACATTCTTGATGGGTAATATGTTAATAAAAGTATGTTAATAGCAACCTTTAAATAAATATACACATAATGTGATTTGGCAGTTTTGGTCACTAGAGTACCTCTATACAGGCAACACTGCCAGGGCTTAAAATCATTATCTACATATGACATAATTCCAGAATCACTGGCTTTGCTTCATTCGAAGCAGGATTCATTTACAGGCCTCTGATCTTGATGCTGATCCACTCCAGCAGGCTCAGGGCCTCCTACACCCAGTACATAGTATTAATATAAAACGGAGTAATTCGATTCAACAAAAAATTTATTAGACACCTACCATACTGCATCCTAGGACTCGGGAAACAAAGATAAGATCCAGATCTTACTGCTTAAGATGGTCACAATTTTTGCTTTAAGATATGAGGTTACCAAAGCCATTCCTCAGAAATGTTCTTGCTAACACTTTGACCCCCATGGGCTGCATCTTTCTGCCTACCCATAGTTGGCCTATCTCTATATGCTGTACTGCTTCAGGGGAGCTTCTAGAACTTAACTTTTCATGTCTATAAATCTATGGCCTCTGCCAGATCCCTCGTGCTGAACTACATAAACACTGTCCAACTAATATATCCTGAATCCCTACTATTTGGCAGGTACTTTTATAGGCATAGGAGATAAAACAGTGAACAAAAATTGTCCCAATTCTTACCAGATCCCCATGCTGAGCTAGACTGTTCTCATCCCTATCAACCAGCCTAATTCTACATACTCATTTAATAGTATCTGTTGAGCTTTTACCATGTCCTAGGTGCTAGAGATAAAGCAGTGAACAAAACAAAGTCCCAGGTCTCATGAAACTTACCTAAACTTTGTGTGACACTGCTCAATAATGACCAGTGGTCTCCAAAGTGAGATTCTCAAACACCAAAAACATGAACAGGATAGTCCACTTGGAGTGAGTGACAGGAAAATATTAAATTTTTATTTATATTCAATTTATCTTATCTTTTTCAATTTCTAAGCTATTTATATTTCGATATACACATACCATATTAATAGCCTAGTATATATAATTTATAAAGAAATGTATACATATCAAGGAACACATGCTCAAATTCTTATACTGAGGGGAATAGCATTTTAAAAGTCTGGAAGGTCATTGACTTGGATAATCACACATTTGGGGTGAGTTGTTTGGCCCAGGTGGGGTTAGCCTGGGCCCTCCACTGGGTCCACTTTCTCTCTGATAGATTAAGTAAGCATTTTGCAAGGATTCCTAGACATCCAGCTATACAACCAAAGCTTGAAGTTCAATTCCATCCCAATTTTCCCTCCCTAATCACCCATCACCCTGTACTCACCATCCCTGCAACACATGGATATTATGGCATGTTTACCTTCTATTTCACATTTGGTATATGTATGTCACTACTATACTAGAAATATCCTGAGACCAGAGCTGCTGCCTTTTTATTCTGCAAGCTCCAGAATTCCTAACCCAGCTTTATACATTATGGGTCCTCAATAATTATATGTTGCAAAAAATAAAGATAATTCAATACATTGAACCCAGAATTACCAAATAGTTATGATAAAGGACATTATTATGATAAAGCAACATTATTGCTTTACTAAACATTGTTCTGGACAGGTGCAGTGCCTCACACCTGTAATCTCAGCACTTTGAGAGGCCGAGGAAGGAGGATCACTTGAGCCCAGGAGTTGAAGACCAGCCTGAGCAACATGGTGAGACCCCATCTCTACTAAAAAATAATAAATAATAAAAATTGGCTGGGTGTGGTGGCATGTTCCTGTGGTCCCAGCTTGGAAGCTAAGGCGAGAGGATCACTTGAGCTCAGGAGTTTGAGGCTACACTGGGCTATGATTACACCACTGCACCCTAGCTGGGGCAACAGAGTAAGACCTTGCCTAAAAAAAAAAAGATGATTCCTCTTCACACAATGATTAGTACTGTGTTCCTCTGATCCTTTTCAAAGCTCCCTTATGTATACTTTATAGACCATTGATTAGTTAATATAGAGACCTGGGAATATTAAAGCTTCCATCTGTAAAACCAACAGCCACTGCTAATTGAAGATCAATTAAAAATAAATATGAGGCATTCTGAAATTATAGTATATCAAAAAATATATATATAGTTCTATTTGAAAAACTAAGTCAAAACTTTTCGGAAAAATATCTATTTAATGAAGAAAAGTATCGATCATCCTAATTCTTAAGGATATACTAGACTTAAAAGCCATCTAGCTGTTTTTGAAATATATAGATCAGAAATGACCATATAAGGTCATATTTTTTAAAAATTAAAGAAAAAGAAACAACAACTGATTCATGATCACAGTTCCTTATGCAGTAAATACATCACCATATACGTGAGACCAGGTCCTCAAACGTATAATTCTGTGCTCATGTGTGATCCCATTCCTCAAGACTTTTCAGAAAACTACAAATAACTTGTATGAATTTGCATCGCTCATGCAGAGATTATCTGTAGAAAATTATTAACATAAAAAAAACCCTAGTCTTATGACAATCTGAACATGTTCTCTGGGTCTAAGTATGTATTGCACCCAATGAGATAAGAATGCATGTCCACATACGAAACCTAAAAAGAAGTTCTTATTACCATGAAGACTGGTACATAACAAGATCCAAGTGGTTATGCTTCCATGATGTCAAACAGCCCCAAGACAAAGAATGGAAGAAAGACTCACAGTTACTATTCCATGTGTCTGTTTCTCTTTGCTGCTTTAATGTAAACATTGGGGTTATTACTGATGTGAGCTTTGAACAAATTCTTCCCAGGTCAGCTTCTTCTTTATGATTTCACATATGAATGTATTTGTTATTAAAGTACACTGGCATCTGGAACACTGAGCACAATATTTCAGAAACAAAGTTTTAATCTAAACTGGGCTGATGTCCAGAAGTGACCAGTCAAATAAGGGCCACAAATAAAACTGAGTGAAAACACATACATTCTGAGGTATAACAAACACAAAAGTCATGAATGAAAGACCAGACCTAGATCACTATGCATAAAAGAGAAGACTGACCAAGCTCACGGGTGTTCTCCAGGCCATGGCTTACTAAACCACAAGAGAAAACACAACTGTAAGCACAGATTGAAGACATCCTGGAAAACCTAAAAACTGCCTGATGGAAGCTTTGAGCATAATTTGTAATCTATTAGTCCTCAAGATAGGAAAACACATTTTCCCCTTTTCGGAATCCCATATTGGGCTAGAACTCTTATTAATATACTCCCAGTTAGTATAATTTATTTAACTAAAAGTATCAGCTACAGTGGTTTGTAGTATTTTTATTGGCATATGTTTGGACCCCTGTACATCTAGCTCAAACTTACTATCTATTAAGTGCGCTTTTAACATTATTTGGTATATGTAGAATGCTCTTTCAGATATGTTACATAGCTGAACAATTCTCTTTGGTTCAATCAGTCATGTTGTCTTTACATATGGTGACGTTAATAGCAATAAATAAAATGGAAGTCCAAAACACCTGACTGAAATATAATTTTAATATGTTTAAATCTTTATCCAAAAAATGTCAGTGGCCTTTTAAAATACCAGAAGCCAAAAGGATGAACTACTATTTAAATAAAAATGAAATTATTGTTAGAAGTCTGATTTTTAAAAATTCGCTATAATGCTTAGGCCAAATTAGTTCTACAGACTTAACGGGCAAACACAGGGCCACAGTAAGAAACTCGTCCCATATTTCAAGGTCTAGCGCCTATGCTGGAACTGGCCAGTTTTTCAGATATTTACTCAGCACTATTTCATACCATATCTATTAAAACAATTAGCACAGATTAATTTATATGATAGATATTTACATTGACTAGCCTTTTCCAGCCAGTAGAACATGTTTGCTTTGAGGACAAGGGTTGTTCCATATTCATCTTCATATCTCCAAAGTCTAGGTCAAGCACCAACATTCTGTAGGCACTCAATCAATGAATGTTGAAAAAATTGGTATAGTTTCTGCTACCCTAGCCTCACCAACACTTGACCTAATTATTTAATTTGGAAAAAGTTCTTCGAATATTACCCAAGAAAACAAGCAGAAAGAAAGGTGTCAAATGACATAAAGTTTAAACTTATTTCCGTTTACCAACCAATGTGAATGGTGTTTTTTGGAGGTGGGGAATGAAACACAACAAACAAAAGACGAGCGCCTTCGGAAAACCATTGTTCGGCTAAAACAAGGCAAGAAGAGCACACTCTTAGTAAGATCATATCCACAAAAGCTACTTTGCTAAAATAGACAGATACCCTATTTCCATGTTTCATGGATCAGGGTAAAAGAAAAGCCAGTTTTAAAAAAAAGACAAACTTTTAATCTTCCATATCTGAATTAGGCTCTGACTTTGCTGAATTTGCAAAGATAAAAGATTTTAATTTCAGATGAATAGGGCTCTTAGTACCAAAAAGCAACATGTTATGCTGTATTTTCGAAATGTTTGGCTACTCGCATACAAAAGTGTAATTTATGAAATCTCTTCCACTTAGCACAGCAGAAATAAGTTCCTCAGGTAAAATTAAAAGCACACTTAAATCACTTCCTAAACTGATGAATTAGAACTGCTGACTGACCCTATATCTGATTCATGTTTGATCAGGCACTCTGAAGTGAAGGCCATGAATCCGCTTATTAATTTTTCCACTAATATGGAACTGCCTTTCAAAGCTAATGTCAGAAGTAAACGTTTTATAACATTATGCATGTTATACTGTTAATTCCTTTAGTAAAATATATTCACTGATTAAGTATTTAAAAGTACAAAGTACAGGCTGGGTGTGGTGGCTCACGCCTATAATCCCAGCACTTTGGGAGACTGAGGCAGGTGGATCACTTGAGGCCAGGAGTTGAAGACCTGCCTGGCCAACATGGCAAAACCTTGTCTCTCCTAAAAACATTAATACAAAAAGTAGACGGGCGTGGTGACCCGCACCTGTAATCCCAGCTACTTGGGATGCTGAGGCACAAGAATCGCTTGAACCCAGAAGGCAGAGGTTGCAGTGAGCAGAGATTGTGCCACTGCACTCCAGCCTAGGCGACAGAGTGAGACTCTGCCTCAAAAAAAAAAAAAAAAAGGAACAGAGCACAAACGATATAGAATATTCAGCTAGGAAAACTCAACTTCTCATGAAAGAATAAATAATTTCTACTGATATACCAGAGGAATTAATAAATATTAAAAATAACAGCTGCCATAGACATTTCTATACTAGATATACCAACTAGAAAGAAAGCTGACTAAACATCAATTATATACTAAGTTTATAAACAAAGGCTTAGTCTTTGACAATGATCTTACAGATGAAAATTTACAAGCCCCAGGTCAGAGACTTTTTCACGTAACTTTCCTTACAAGTGATAAAGTACAGAGTTTCAACCTTATTACTTGAAAATGAAGACCTCTCTTCTAGGAGAAAAAAAAAATTGGGGAGAATTCTTAGCTAAAAGTTGTCCCAAACCTTTCATTTTTAACTTCTTGGAATGTGGCCCTAATGGCAGGTAAATAGAGAAAAAGCCTCAGGAGATTGTGGCACTGCAGACAGGCAGTCTAAACCTGGCATGATCACTTACCAGCTGTGCGACTTCAGACAAGTTATTCAACCTGAGATTTAGTTTCCTTGTCATTAAAATCGAGTATTTATCATCAGAAAGTTGTTGTGAAAAATAAAGTAATAAAAACAAAACTGGGCCTCATAAGGCAGCCCTTAGTCCAGATTATCTTTCTCCCTTCCTCCTAGTGTAAAATACTCTTTGGGAAACTTCTAAAAACTGCATTCAACTTTCCTGAAGTTTAAATGAAACTGTGTAGTCATTCTATCAACCTAAAACTGAAAATGTTTGGATAAGGAGTTTATTTCCATTATTTCATAAAAACAACAGGTGCCTTAATTTCACAGAGCCCTGATAAAGGTTCCTTATAATCCCTTCCTAACTGACACTTTCATATGTAGGGATGTGTATAAGTCTCAAGCTCATTTATCAACAATTTTTTATATAGGCAGTGATAAATACCAAAAGGACTCAAAAACTACAAATCGATCTTTAAACTCAAACAAAGGTGTTTTAAAAAAGGAAAGCTCAACTCCCTATTCCCATTCTAAAATATTTTTATGCAGTATCACAGATGCACATTACCAAACATAATAGACTGGGAGAGAAAAAAAGAGATGAGAGAGAGGAAGAAGAAGAGAAGGAGGGAGGGAAAAGAAGGGAGGGAAACCCTAGGAGGGAAGAAAGAAAATGATAATTTCAATAACTCAAAAGATAATCAAAGTCTGACAGCTGGATGTAAAGAATTATTTTCTCATTTTGTTCCATGCTCCACCACATTCCCTCTGCAGTCCATGAGAACTCTACACTTGGGTGAGTTTTGAGAGGTGCACCAAAAGCTGAAAAACAAGCCAGCATTTTTAATATTAAAAGAATCAGCATTGCTAATAAGAGTCCCTCTGAATTACTTAATCTGTGGCTTTCCTACACCAAGGAATGTAGTCATGTAAATAAATAATGAAAGCCCTATCAATAAACAATTCCTTAGCATTAACAGTTCCAGTCTATATCAAATGAAGACTGACTTAAGTCTTACCATAACAAATCAGATAAAGCTATTACTTTATTCCTAGATTGCCATATAGACTCTTCCCCATGACATATTTTTCATTTTTCTAAAGTAGTTTTATAGGAAATTAAAAGGCAAGATCTGAACATTTCATAATTAATTATTGAAAATAAAGGTATCTAGAACCTCTACAAAACAATATAACCTGAAAACATTCTCATCTGAGAACAGACTAAATTACAGAAAACACTGTCTATTTTTATTTTCCTGATAGATGGAAAAAAAAATGTGCAGGTAGCAGTATAATAAAGGAAATATAACCTCTAATAACAATAAACCATTAATGAAAGTAGCCTTTCATAATTACATAAGAAACATAAGAAACATTTTTCAACATGGTACAGGTTTCAAATGTTATGCAGATTTTAGTGTGTGTTTAATAAAACTAAAAACAACAACAAAGGAATCATCACGTCAAAATGGAATATAAGAGGTTCAGTGAAATGTGAACTAACCAGGTTCTGCCTGAGTTTAAGCTTTCCTTACCCAGAAGCCTTTAACTTGGCTCAACTTAGATGGTACAAATGATGTCAATGACTACCATTTTGCTTACCTGACTTTATATCCTTATGCCTTACACCTGTACATTTGGAGCCACAGGGTTTCAGCAGACAGTCTGATTGAGGTAATATATAATGTTAAAAAATCTTTCATCATTTGTTAGCTGGCAAGGAACTTAAATTGTTCAATGATCAGTGATCAAAGTTAGCAAAATAATTTTTCATTGGGTTAAGTGGTTAGGCATATCAGAGAATTTCACTCTACCAACCAAGGAAGTTAATGCAATAGGATCACAATCCCTTATTTAAAACCCTTAGGTCCTGATATGCTTCAGGATTCAGATTTTTGTGGGGTTTAAAAAGGCAAAATGGTACCTATAGCACATATTACATAACATTCCTAGCTATATCTAGGATAATACCTCACAATTAATCAATATTATTATTTCCAGCAAAATATGTGAATATTCTAAGCAGGCTTGAAAACTACTTTAAACAATCCCATGACAGTATGGGTTAGGTTTTGCTACCAAATGAGTTTTGATACCACACTTCTGAAGGAAAAAAAAAACTTTTAGTTTTTCAGAGCTTTTTAGATAAAAGATTGTGAATCTATTTCCAATACTACTACATCAAAGTACTGAGGCGTTTTCAAAATATAGAGAGCTTATTAATTTACCGGAGATCAAAAACGTATGGCAAATTAAAATTTAGCAAAGTGGGAAGACGTTCCTGGCAAATATAACCTTAAAAATTAGGAAATGCCAAAGTCACTTAATTTTGATTTATTCACATAAATTTAATGATTGTTGAGACTACTTAAATTTTTGTGTCAATGTGTATTTGAGTACGACAGTACCATTTGAAAACCCTGATACCTGTAGTCTTCTGTATTTTCTGTACATTTCCCCAGCTTTTGGTTTTCACATTGTTTTGAGATTTCAGGGATTTAATGTATTCCCCATTTATCTTCTCCTTAGCTTGCCCCTCTTTTCAAGTGCCTATTTTGTGCAATGTAATTTGTTAAGCACTACATATGTAACACTTCTCAATCTCCATGCCTTGACACAAGGATGGGTTTTGTTTATGAGGAACACCCCAATTAGAACAATTAAAGTACCATAATTTACAATTTTCCATGTGTTTATTAAGTATATTCGAAGTTTTCATTATAGCACCATTCTCACTTGCAATTTGATATGCCTTTCTTGACTTTTTTTAAAAAAGGAGTGGCTTTATCACACTGTGAACTACCTATAAAACTCACAGCATAATTTATCTGTCTGTTAACCAGGGGAAATCATAATGTCCCATATGTAAACATTGGTCACATGTTTTTGTTTTGGTTTTTTTTTTGAGACAGGACCTTGCTCTTTCACCCAGGCTGGAGTGCGGTGACACGATCATGGCTCACCGCAGCCTCAACCGTGCGGGCTCAAGTGATCCTCCCACCTCAGCCTCCGAGTAGCTGGGCCTACAGGCACACACCACCACCCCCAGCTAATTTGTTTTTATTTTTAGTACAGGCAAGGTCTCACTATGTTGCCCGGGCTAGTCTTAAACTCCTAAGCTCAAGCAATCCTCCTTCCTCAGCCTCCCAAAGGGCTGGGATTACACATGTGTCTTGACGGAAGAAAGTTTGAGAACTGATACTCTAAGACATTCTAATATCTATAAGTCACCAGAGAGAATGCCCTGTGCTGACAAGGGAGAACTACCGTGAAATATGAAAAGAGCTGTTCTCTCATCCCATACTCTACTTTTTTAAAGAGGTGGGAAAATCATTCCCCAAACCTGAAGGAGGACTGTACTTTACTGTGGCGTGCCTCAGCTGTGCTTGGCTTTTCTCCTTCTGGTTACTCTTATTATTTCCTTCCCTAACAAATTACTTGTCCAGCACCTCATGTCTAGTTAAAAACATACCCATGTTTCATGATAACTAGAGGTGAGAATCACTTTAGAGAAAAAAAAAAAACTAAAAGGCTTTCAGAAATTTCAAACAGTGGAGGGTAGGGTGAGATGAGATGTAATTACAAAAACAGAGACTATATATTGAGCGCTAACTGTGAATAAGGGTCCTACATTCATTACTGTCTTGTGTAATCCCCATATTATTGCATGGTAAACATTACCATACCCATTGTGCACATATGAGAATAAAAGTTTAAGGGATGTGAGGTAACATGCTCAGAGTCCCGCAACTAATAAGCAATAGAGGCAGCAGGAGTGGAACCTAGAGCTCTTTGGTGGTACGGCCTCTGTTCCTTGTACTACACCTTCTACTACAGGAGCACCTACAGAGGGTGATGAGGACCTTCCTCAGTATTGCAAACATACTGACTGAAATACAGCCAAAGAATGGTGAAGATGCAAGACACCTCATAAAGTCAATGAACTTCAGCCCCACATTCAGAACATCCAATCTTAGGCCATCTGTCCTTTGTACTGAGGTTTCTCAAAGTCAATTGGAGGACCTCCTACTTGCTTTAGAATCACCTGCTACATGTGCTAAAATCTAAATTCCATGGCCCCACCCCAGAAACACTGAATGAGAATATCAAAGGATGAGGCCTAGAGACCTCCATTTCTAAGAAGGCAAGCAGGCACTCTAGGCCAGTGTTTTTCAAACTATAAGTCATGAAATCAATTTGATAGATAATACCTAGTATTTTTTGTTTAATAAAATGGCTTGAAACAGATTGGATTTATAAAGATTAGTTAGGAATAGAAAATATCAGAGGGCACTGCACTTTGTCCTGTTTCAGGAAACTTGTTTCAGTTCTTTTATGTGGATTGGGATGTTAAAGGTATTTTTTATAATATACCTCAGTCAAAAGTATTTGAGAAATACAGCTGTTTTGAATAATTTTTACCCCATTCTTATTTCTCCTCTAAAGTAGGTTATTGGCCTTTTATTTAATTATTCCTATTACAAAAAATGCAACCTTGTATGTTCCTTTTAAGAGTTCAGTTATTCTGTTCCAGGAGTTTGTTTTATTCCCTGAACTTTTCATCCGAGGACCATGTTTAACCATTGGCTTAATTATTTAATCAACATTTTAAAATATTTTTAATTTTTTAAGATTTCATAAAATCCAATTCATTCTCATTGTTACTTTGTGTTTTTCTGTTTTGTTTTGTTTTGTTTTGTTTTGTTTTGTTTTGGAGACAGAGTCTTGCTCTGTCGCCCAGGCTGGAGTGCTGTGGCACAATCTCAGCTCATTGAAACCTCCAGGTTCAAGGGATTCTCCTGCCTCAGCCTCCCAAGTAGCTGGGATTACAGGTGCCCACCAATACACCTGACTAATTTTTGTATTTTTAGTAAAGACAAGGTTTCACCATGTTGGCCAGGCTGGTCTCAAACTTCTGACCTCAGGTGATCCACTTGCTTCCGCCTCCCGAAGTGCTGGGATTACAGGTGTGAGCCACCAAACCTAGCCTGTCACTTTGCATTTTATACAAACCTTCTCATTATCTGAAGTCATTTCACTATCTAGATTCTCGAACTTACATATTTTAACTTATTAAGTTTACATTTTGGTACATTTGGTAATATCAATGCTTCATGGTCTACATTTAATCTTTTAAGTCTTTCATTCTCTCATCTTCTATTTATATATACTTTTAGATGAAATTCTTTACTGGCTTGCTTCTTTTGTATTCTCTCACATAACTGGCACTTATTTCAATTCTTACCTGTTTCCTTGAAAGCAAAAAAAAAAAAATGAAGACAATCCCCATTAATACATGAGGATTTTCTGGGTATATCTGTACAGTTTTAAAATGATGTACTGGCATTTCAAGGAAATATAACTGCCTTCTAAAGGATAATATCACATATGAACATTGAGCGAAGTTGTAATCAAAAAGTGCTTTCCACAGGTATGACTTAAAATACAGAAATACTGACAATTAGACACAGTATGTGATGACTACCCTTGAGGTAGTACAACACCCAGTGACTGAATGACAGTCACAGAATCTTCAAGCTGGAAGAGCCTCCATTCAGTCTCAGTCTTTCTCTTTACCTATTCCCTTCATAGCAGTGTTGCTCAGTGTACTGAGGACTGCCTGCATCTGATTTCCCTGGGACACACGATAAAAACAAAGCAGTAAGATTACAATGTCCTTAGTAAAGTTGAGTTTGTTTTCATTTCATAGTGACAAGAAGGAATCTGACAAAAAATACAGGAGAGATACCACTCAGGCCCATTTCAAAAGGTACCCTCAGTGGTGAAATGTTAAACAATGAGATGGACTTCAAGGTACAAGTTCAAGAAAAGCATCTTCCTCTTAAGTTAAGCACCTGCTTAAGGTTAAATCTTAAAGCACAGGTATGCCACGTTGGTGGTAATGTAATATGTTAAAATTAATGCCTATATTTAGTAATTTGGAGCATTTGATGTAACAATTGTCAACATTTTATATACTTTTTTAAGACACTAATAATAACTTCAGGGACTTCCTGTAGTACAGCAAAAAGGCACATCTGTAATGGAACTGTTTTCAAAAAGTTCTTTTTTTAGTAGTATAGAGCTGTGAAGCCTTTACCATTTCTATTAAAGATTTCTAATATAAAAGTAATTGAAATTCATGACAAGATCTACTTAAAAATATACCCCTTGCTTTTACCCATGTTCTTTATGAAATGTAAGAAAACATATACTGTTAGTAGGCTGACTATTGACTAGTAATTAAAAATTGCCTGTGATTTTACTGAAAAGTGTGGCTTTATAAATATTTTAGCTACTGAGTTAGATTTTCATGAGTTGCACAACATCTTCAGACCTATTTATTTTTACAACATACAGAAAACTTATCAACTACGTAGTTACTTACGGCACAGGCCAATCGTAATCATATGTGCAACCTCATTTTCATTCAAAGATATGTTCTAAATTCAATGTCTACATGAATCTGTTTTAATGGATTAAGTATAAAAATCAGATCTATAAGGTCAAAAGTGCTATATATACCATTTTCAAAGTATGTTAAAAGCACAGCTATCTCAAAAACTCATATACCTTGAACAAAAAAATGGATACGAAGATCAAGATACATTTTCTTAATGTTTCAAAAATTGCAAATTTTAAAAAACATCTATGTCTCTAGAGAAAGATTTTTCCTAAAACTGCCACAGTACCTCCAAAGAGGTAACACTAGGAAACAATATAGATGAGCCACCTTTTCAATAGCTAGCATTAAATGTGAAATGCAAACTAGGGCTTCAGTTTCAGAACCTAACAGAGACATGCAGAATAATAAAATGGGAAGTTTGGAAACACTTGGAAATGGAGAAGCAAAAACGTCTTTAAATTCTTATTTTGATAAGTAAGCCTCAAATCTAATAGATACATTTTAGATGCCAATAACTGGCAATTCATTGTCAAAATGACTTTTTTTAGATCACTATTACAAGATTTACACTATCAGAACTACTTCACTGACTTCAAAGTCCAAGACTGTTCTTGAAAATATTGTTTTAATGAAGCAGTCACTTGATATCTCAAAGAAATACAAGCACTTATCAGACTTTTATTCTCAACATTACTAACCTATCATATTAATTTCTGAATTGGTCAAACACATTTCCATGGGGAAGGAATATTAACAGTTTGTTGCAATGAACAAAATAATGTGCCTAACAGTATAAATGTGGTGTTCTTTAGTAATCAAGAATGCATTTTGAATACTCTTGCCCAAAATGAAACTTTTCAAACAAGCTTTAAAAAAACTCAAAGACAATGAAATCCATGTATTTTAGTGTGCACTAAATTCAACTTATAGAACCTTCTCATTTTGACACTCCGATTGGCCTGCTATGTATGTGATGTATTCTGAGCTCTTAGTGAACAAACCACCTAATTATCAGCAGTAATGCAATATTTATATTCCATAGAAAATGTTCGATGCAAAACATATACAGATTATCTAAAGTTCTCTAGATTTTCTAAATGTTCAATGCAAAACTTACATAGATTATCTAAAGTCTTCAATAACATGAAAGTATATTTTGTTACCAAATGGACACTACCAGAAAGGTCTAGTCCTCTAACTCAATACTAAGACAACAGTTTTATATTCTTAATACAAAGACAATAATTTTGTTAATGTACACATTATGTCAGCAATCCAGGAAACACCACAGATGAGGTCTCTAAATTTTCTTTCACAGAAAAGTAAGTTCAAGTTCATTTTCATTCACAAAATACAATCTCTAAATTCACTATGGTAATATTACAAAGCACTACAGCTGATTTACACAATTTAGTACTAGTTTCCAAACATCAACAACTCAAGAGTACCTGGGGTGTTCCTTTACAATGGAGGGGCAAACTTACAAGGTGGTTTTCTGCAGATTAGGCTCACTGTGCTGCTTTCAAATGCTCTGTAAACCCTCAGTTCTTACCCACACTGTTACCTCTCACAAATTTTCCACACACTTACTGTCCCACACATATTTTGCAGATTTTTCCACTTGGGAGTCATATATCTGAAAAAGGCACTTAACAACAGATCTCAAAGTCTTTGTTTATTAAATTTACAGGCTACCGAATTGTTCCTAATTTCTCCAAACATGTAAGTTTTAAAAGAAATTATGATCAATTTTGAATCAAATTAGTGCACTAAACGCTAGATTTACCACACTGCCAATCCCACCTTTCCCCACCCCAAAAGTAACTGTTACAAACACCACAGGTTACTCAAGAAAGAGAACTTGAGAGAGAGTAAGCAAATGTCAGTCACTATAATTAGAGGACTTCTGCACAATGCTTCCTTGGGTTTTTAATAATTCTCTCCACTCATACACTGCACTCTTCCTATAGTATTGTCTAGCATTAAATTTACTAGACCTTCAATGCCATGTAAAATTTCATTATAAATTAAAATGTCTATTTGAGAATAAGTTTTGAAACGACAATTACTTGTAGATAAACACAAAATGAATATTTACTATCTTAATAATAACCCACAGCTGAATTCTAAACACTAAGAATCATAAACTGACTTATGCTGTGGGAAACTCAGTGAGACAAGGTTTCTGGGGTGCTGTAACCCCAATAAAGCATCTTCCTCTGTGAACAATAAAGACCCTTATGTCATTACTAATTGTCATCCTGCTTCCCTGTACGAACAGTTTGCATACTTACCCAGGAAGGCAAATGGAAAGTACACAGGGAGGAAGATGAACTGCGGCAAAGCCTTTGTCATATGATAGTGACCTATAAAGTATCAAATAAAGGTACATCATCAGTATAGTAGGGCTTTACAATAGTACAGTCCCAAGTCCTGTAACATCTATGAAGAGAAGGTACCAAAACCCAGGAGTCCAGCTCCCACTAACCCCTCCCCTTTCTCTACCACCCCCCGACACTGGAGAACTGTGGGAACAGAAGGCAAAGAAGCTCCCCGTATTGAAAGGGCAGAGGCTGGGGGGCAACCCAACTGGCATTCTAGGGTATCTCCCGTACCCTCGCTTCCTACTCCCCACATGTACAAAGCAGAAAGTTGATCCATTCTGCAAACGCAAAAACCACACCGCGATCATTCATCAACTTGCACAAGTGATCACCGCCCCCAGGACAAACACACCAGTAACCAAATCATAGGGATCGATAGGCAGCCCGAGCCTCGCCTTGCCCAGGAGACGGCGGGAGGTGCCACCGCGGCGGCAGCGGGTCCAGGTATCGAAGCCCTCAGCCTTTCAGACCTGGGCGGCCACTGCCGTCTCCCAAACACCCAGCCCGGGTCACAATCCCCAGATTGGAGATAGGAACCGACCAGGGAAAACACATTCGCCAAAGCCCACAGCGGCAAGTGCAGGGCCACCAGGTCTGCGAGGTCGGGGTGGGGGGAGCTAGGAAACAAGGAGGGAGGAAGAGAGCGAGGGATCCCACCCCGGCTTTGTTGCTGGTCACCATCAAGTTTGCATCTTAGTACAAAATGTCGATCTTAAAGGCTGACAAGACAGAGGCAGAGGCAGTGGGAGAAAGAGAAAGGGAATAGAGTCCATCTTGCTTTGGGAAAGAGGGGGGAAGAAAAAATGAAGTGCAAATACCACACTCCGGGCGTAAAAGTCTGCTAAACACCTTTCCATAACGGAGGAGCAACGAGTGGGGTGTCCCCGTGCCCGTGCCTGCTCGAACTGGCGGCGGTCTGGGCAGAAAACGCCTCCCTCTCCTCCTCTTCCTCCTTCTTCCCCTCCTCCTTCTCCCTCTCCTCCTCCTCCTCCCGCGGGCCCCGGCGAAGATCCCGCCGCCACTGCCTCTGCCTCCGCTGCCCCCCAGGGAGGCACCGCCGGCGCCCGGCCCGGCGCTGCCATTCCGGGCTTGGACCGCGCGGCGCAGAGCGCGTGGGGCCGGACCCGGGGTGGCCGCGCGGGGACGTCGGCGCCGGGGACCCCCGGCGCCCCTGGGCCGCTGGCTGCCTACAAAAGTCGCGCGAGCAGAGGTGGCGGCGGCGCGCAGGGGCGGGGGGCCGCGTGGGGGCCCCCACGCCGCCAGTGGGCAACCCCAGGAGATGGCGAAGAACGCCCCTCCCCGCGCGGGGAAAGTACCCCAGTCCCAGTCAGCCACCCCGGGAACGGCAGCCCGGCGTCCGCGGCCGGGAGAAGAGAACTGGACGTGTCATTAGCAGGACAGGCAATGGTTTCAAAGCCCCAGGCCAATGACCATTAGCAGAGGCAGAGCTCGCTCCGTCCCCATCCCCCACAACCTCCACCCACCTTCCCCTTCGCCCCCCCCCCCACCTCCACCCCACCTCGCGAAACTTTTCAACAAGATCCACCTGGACTAATTTGTCCACAGACAGTTAAAATATTGACTAGACCCTACACACTGGGAAGGAAGGGGAATGCACGCTTTATTTTCCTTCCTACAGAAAGGAAAGCAAAAAATAGCTTCTCTCTCTGTCTCTCCCTCTCCCCCCCCCCCCCTCTGTCGTACATGTTGTGTCTTAGCTTTTTGCATCGTTTCGTTTTACCTTCCTCATTTAGCAGAAATGATCGCGGCTATTTCACACATAAACGTGTTCCAGATTCTGGGATTCAGGGTCCTTGTAAATTACAGGACTCGGGTTCGGTCTCAGTTATGTTAAGTTTCATACAATACCAAAAAATAAATAAAATATGATAATAAATTTCAGAGGGTGAGTGAGCGAGACGAGGTGGAGGAGGAAAAGAAACCTCGAGTCTGATTTCTGTAATTTACTAGCGACCCGGATCGCAGCAAATAACAGTGTAACACGAGTGTGGCTTAAGAGGGCTAGGGAGCTCTTTCTAGAGGCATCGACCCCATCCCCGGATAAAGGATCTGCAAGTTTTCTGTCATCGCGACCAGGCAAAGCCGTAACTTACCTTCAGAAATAAGACTTTAAACGGCCAAGGCCTTCCTCCTCCCCTCCACCACCACCCTCAGCCTCGCTCTCTCCACCTTAAACTTATTGACACAACATAATCCCACATTCAAGCAAAATCCTGACACAGCCTCCCTCCTCCTCTTCCCCCTCCTCTCTTCCCTCCCGTTCTCTCTCTCCCTCTCTCTCTGTCTCCCTCTCTCCCCCCCCTTCCCTCCCTCTTCTCTCTCCCCTTCTCCCTCGCCCTCTTCCCCCTCTCCCCCTATTCTTCCTCCAGGCTACTCTGGCACTAAAACAGCACTTTCTCTACTCGCCGCGCATTTGGGTAGGGGTGGGGGGTGAGAGGGCACTGATCTGCGGGGCCGGAACACCCAAATCCCAACTCTCCAGATGAACGAGCAACTGGGCTGCTGTTCCCGGTCACCAACGCAGACGAAACGTTCAATAAATCCACCGAAGGCTGGCTCCTCGTACCTTCCTCCACTGCCCCTGCTCCCCAGGCCCCACCTCCCCGGCAGCCGAGACCAGGCAGGGCTCCACGTACTTTCGCCGAGATGAAGTTTGGGGCTCCCCGGGCGGCCACGAGCCGCCCGCCGGCGTGAGGGCTCTGTTGTTGTTTTCCTGGGGCCGCTCCAGCCCGCGCCCCGGCGCCCGTGCCCCTCTCAGGCGGCGCTGCCTGTGTGCCGAGAGGTGCTGGTTGCAAACGCAGCCTGGCACCGGCTGGCCTACTACTCCCCAGCCCGGCCCCCAGCCTCCCGCTCGCAGGGCACTGCCTCAGCGCCCCCCGCCCCCCGGCCCCAGCCGGCGCGGCCGCCGCGACCCTCGCCCCCGACCTCTCCCGACCCAAAGTTTTGGCGGAGGGGGAAAGTGCCCAGGGAGCGGGCCGGCTGGCGGCGGCTCCGGACGCGCGGGGTTCCCTCCGTCTTCCTCAAGTCCACCCTACCGGCTGCCGCCGCCGCCGCCGCCGCCGCCGCCGCTGCTCCTGCCGCGGAGTCCTTGGGGCTGCAGCCCGGCGGCTCGCAAGTGAGTAGGAAAACAGAAAGTGAGGGGAGTGCGCCCAGGGAGGGCTGGGGATGGGGGGCGCCTACCTCGCGGGCTCGCCGGGCGTGAGGGCGTGTGTGTAGCTAGCCCTCAGCGGCCAGTCAGGGTTTCTCTATGGGAAAGTGGAGAGAAGCTCGCGGAGCCGCTCTGCCTCCGCTTCACTGTACACTGCTCCACATACAGTACATGCAACCCGGAGAGACTGAAAACACTCATTTTATATAAGGCAGCCTGCCATTGGCCCGCGCAGTGACGGACAGGCCGCGCAGCCAAACAAGAGGCCCGTTACACCCAAACACACGCACACATACACACATTTTACAGAGACACACAAAGATCATCACATTTTCTATTTTCTAATGTTCGGGACCTGTAGACAGTAGGAGAGGACAGGTAAAGAGGCCCAGCAGAGTGGGGTAAAGGGGAAAACCCCTGTCTGCACCAAGTTGCAAGGCTTGAAACTGGTGTCCTTTTGACTTGGGAGGGTTATGGTAATAAACTACAACTCCACTGGATATGGAAGTGAGGGGGGTTTTTCATCGCTGCCTTTTGGTGCCCCATGGAAGAGGCCTGCATTGTGTTACGATTTTACAGCCTGACCCGGCTAACAAGTGGCCAAGAAAGGCTTTTATCACCTTGGATTTCTTTTGTCAATGGGTTAGCTATCACATAGGCCAAAATAGTGCAAGATAAGTTTATCAGGACTCTAATGCATTGAGGTTGTTAGTGCCTCATTCGTAGGTAGATTCAAAAAAATCAATATAACAACACACAAAGATAAACATTTTGCTGAAATAGCCAAACAACTTTTAACTGGTCAGTGGACTGCCATCACCTGTGTGGACATGCAAACTGTGCTGTTAGGTAAAATAAGTCATGGAAGATTGGCTATTGACCCTTAGCCTTCAAAACAGACCTTTGATTCAATATATACATGATTTATATTTTGCATATTATATATAAAAATATATGACTCTTTACATATTTCACATCTCATGTGAACATCATATGTTGCATGACTTTTGGAGATGATGAACCTCAGGACTGGTCTTTCTGATTGTTTTTCAACAATGCAACTTCAGAAGATTATATGAGACAGTTCAATACACATAAGTCAACAGGTTGGTGGAAAGAAGTCAAAGCTGGAAATTAGAAGGAATAAATTGTAGATTAAACTCTTTAACCAGCTGAGCAATCTTGAGCAAGTTACTTAACCTCTCCAATGCTCAGACTTGGTTTTGATTTTTAAGATTAAAATAAGAAGCTTTTCCAGATTCCCTCAATTAAATGTTTATTCAGCATCTACTATGTGTCAGGCATTATCTTAGGCCTAGATGTTTTCTTAGGGTTCCTTCCGTTTTAAGAGTTGGTGAATTATTCTCAAATACAAACATTTTGGAGATTACATAAACACTACGATTTTATGGCCTAGGTAAGTAGCTTTAAAACTTAAAGAAAACCCAACTAGGGCAACTTATTTCAGTTCCCCTTTTATTTCCTTGATGCTGTCTTAAGGTTTTTCTCTCGCATCCATAAAGTTGTTAAAAGAGTGTATGTGTGCATGTGAGCACTCCTGTGTAAGAGGGAGAAAGAGAAACAAAATCAGAAAAGTTTAAAAAGTTCAGAAAACAAAGTGGTATTTAGAAATGTGATGTTTATTTTTTTAGAAAAATCATTTTTAAAAGGAAAAGTATATAAAAAATCACAGCATTTTATTTTATTTTATTTTTGAGATGGAGTCTAACCCTGTAGCCCAGGCTGGAGTTCAATGGCGTGATCTCAGCTCACTGCAACCTCCGCCTCCCGGGTTCAAGAGATTCTCCCACCTCAGCCTCCCGAGTAAGCTGGGACTACAGGCACCTGCCATCATGCCTGGCTAATTTTTGTATTTTTGTAGAGACAGAGTTTCACCATGTTAGTCAGGCTGGTCTCGAACTCCTGACCTCAGGTGGTCCACCTGCCTCGGCCTCCCAAAGTGTTGAGATTACAGGCATGAGCCACAGCGCCCAGCCAATCACAGCATTTTAAACAGATAATATCAAAGTTTGTATTAGGGGTGGGCGCGGTGGCTCACATCTGTAATCCCAGCACTTTGTGAGATGGAGGCGGGTGGATGACCTGAGGTCAGGAGTTCGAGACCAGCCTGTCCAACACGGTGAAACCCCCGTCTCTACTAAAAATACAAAAATTAGCTGAACGTAGTGGTGGCACCTGTAATCCCAGCTATTCGGGAAGCTGAGGCAGGAGAATCACTAGAACCCAGGAGGTGGAGGTTGCAGTGAGTACAGACTGCACCATTGCACTCCTGCCTGGGGGACAGGGCGAGACTCCGTCTCAAAAAAAAAAAAAAAGTCTATTAATGGCAGTTTCATTTAGTTGACACAAGGAACAAAATGTTCTTTATCCACACTACACTGCTCTGAGGTCAGTGCTAAGTATTATCACCTCTAGTTTACCCATAGGAGAAATGAGTCAGGGACAAGTTATATAGCCTGCTCCATATTGCACAGAATGATAATGAAGAAGGAACTTAAACCGAGGACTTTTAATACCCAGCACAGGTTTTGAGTAATTTGACAACCCTTCCCTCCAAATCATGAACTTCAGAGGCAAGAGGGAATTGGAGGGAAAACCAAAAAAACTTTCTTAGAATTTCACTGTGCTCCTTTTTGAAAAGGAAAAAAAGTCGACAGGAGTTGCTACATTTAATTGCAGAGTGAAGTGTTGTGCATTATTTGCTAGTAGAACTATGTTGTGAAAAATAGAAAAGCCTATCCTACTCCCCACTCTTATCCCCAACCTCCAACCATAGGAAAACATTCTTCATATTTTTATGGTCACAAGATATTTTTGTTGAATTACACTTAGCTTAGCAGAATTATTTAGAGGTACGGTCTTCAAACTTTTAGATCACACATTGCTATCAGTAAAATGTTTGAGCATGTAGTCTCAATATGTATATTCATGTACACATTAAAAATTCACCACTGGACCAGGCATCGTGGCTCACACCTGTAATCCCAGTGCTTTGGAAGGCCAAGGCAGGAGGACTGCTTGAGGCCAGGAGTTCAAGACCAACAGTTTGAGACCAGCCTGATCAAGATAGAGAGACACTGTCTCTACCAAAAAAGAAAAAAAAAATGCACCATTGCATAGATTATTATTTATTATTATAAATCATATATTTACAAAAACAAAATTTAAAAGCATGAGATAAAAAATAAATAAGAGTTTAATTTCTTCTATAGTCCATAGAAGTGTGGATTCCTATGATAGAGTCTTAGCACATGCCCCAGGACTTTGCATTCCAGTTTGGACACCTCTGAGAGTGCAAGGTGCTAACTGACCAAGACTGATGCAGAAGAACATAAAGTGTATTGCAGTGACTTCCTATGAGTCATTACTGCTACTAGAAAATTGTTAGGTCCACAGGCCTTCGGATTGAGAGAATGACACCTTTTTAAACACATATTATATATTGGTACCGTATTTCCATTGGGCGTCATGTTCCAGCATAAGCCATTTTTCAATATTCTTTGGCAGAATATTTATTGAGAGGGTTCCATGTGCTCTTGTGCATGTCAGATGCCAGAAAAGGAAAACTACCTGCTCCTAGGAGAAGGGATAGAATAGAATTCCATTCTACTGTGTGGTCCGTAGGGCCTCACTGCTAAGTAAGGAAAAGAGGCTTAGAGCTAACTTTAATGTAGTATTTTACCATTTTGGAAATACTTTTAAAATGTTTATTACCTCATTTGAGAATAAATACCAAGAAATTTTAAATGCTAGTTATGCTCGAAACTTAAAATATGATCAGAAAAAATCATAGCTTTCATGGAGTTTACTTAATTTTTATAATGTAGGGTTATGAAAATAAAAACAATGGTTGGTTACTTGGGCAAAATGGCATTAAAAAGGGACGACCCTTTTCCCTTTTTGTTTTCACATTTGATGACCAATCACAGACTAAACTTACATGATTATCGTACTTCTCCTTCTCATGGCTTTGTCTGTTTTCTGAATTTTATTTTATATGGGCCATTTTTTGTGACATAAAATAATTTTGGGAAAGTAAATTTAAGTGTGTGTTTAGATGTGTATAAACAAATGTATATATTGTTTAAATGTATGCCTACACATAATTTATTTCTTTATTCATATATGACTTCTTTATACAATCCTAATACAAATCCTGATTTTGCCACTTTCTTTTTTTTTTTTTTTGAGACAGAGTCTTGCTCTGTCTCCAGGCTGGAGTGCAGTGGCACAATCTCCGCTCACTGCACCTTCTGCCTCCCCGGTTCAGGCGATTCTCCTGCCTCAGCCTCCCAAGTAGCTGGGATTACAGGTGCACGCCACCATGCCCGGCTAATTTTTGTATTTTTAGTAGAGACGGGATTTCACCATGTTGGCCAGGATGGTCTCCATCTCTTGACCTCGTGATCTGCCCGCCTCGGCCTCCCAAAGTGCTGGGATTACAGGTGTGAGCCACCGCGCCGGGCCCTGATTGTGCCACTTTCTAGCTGAGTAACTTTGGAAAAATTCCCCAATCACTTTGACTCAGTTTCCTTGTTTATTAAATGGGAATAATCATAATTGAAACAATACATATAAAACGCATCAGCCTGGAATATACTAAAGGTTCAATCAGTATTATTCGTGTTTATCTTTCCACACAGACAAACCAATGACAGATGCTTTACAGAAAGTGTTCTAGGACTTAACTATCATATCAAATGGAGTTTATGGAACCTGTTACAACTTACTTGCCCAGTGTTTGCAATTTCCTTTTAGCCTACACTCTACCAGCTCCACCATCTCTGCACATAAAAGAGATGTCAGCCTGATCCCAGGATAAAGCAAACATCTTATTGGGTGGGCATTATTAAGCACCTAAAAAAGCAAACTTGTAATAAATCACTCTTTGAAACAGGCCTTGTTTTGTGCACTGAAACTCTAGATAGTTACAATGATGAGGGTCTGCCTTACATAACAATTTATGACTTGTACTTGACCTTGCTGAGCTTCAGCGTTTTTTCTCTTTCTATAGGAAAAAGTGTTTTTTCTCTTTCTACAGGAAAATAAATAGAGAAAACCATACCTTTCTCCTCAAGCCAATGCAAAGGCAGTAAAAATTAGAGCTTGGATAGTTGGACCACTTGTTAGCACCAATGCAGAAATTCATAATCTTGAAGAGAACCAGCTTCTATGGTGTCCCAGAAGACTTGGGGATAAGAAAGAAAGAGGAGAATATCCTGCTTTCCTAGGGTGATTCTTGGGGCCAAACATCTTTGAATTCCCACTCTCCTGTGATCTTTTATAGCATTTTATCTATGTTATTCTTAAGGCATTCAAATATCTTGCCTTGCATTATGTTATGTATGTATTGGTAGAGATCTTTATTTGATGGCAAACACCTTGAGGAAAATGTTGTCTCCTTCAAGGTTTTATTTTCCAACAGTGGCTAGAACAGTAACTAATACATGACTGACATGTAACAATAACAACAAAGATTTGTAAAATTAATGAAGAAGACAAGCAAAAACAAACAAAAATGCCATAAATTCTAAGGAAGCTCAGAGAGAATCCAAGGATAAGAGAAGTGTCAGAAAAGGTTGGGGGGGTCCCAGATATATGGTAAACAGAACTTACATTGTAGGCATTATAAATTATACTTGCATATTGTTGTAATTTTCTAAAGCACTTTTACATGAGACAGCCTAGCATACTCACTAAAATCCAGATGAGGTAGGTGAGACAGATAGAGGGACCTTCTTTATAAATGAAAACAATTAAAGCGAGGAAATGTTAAATTATTCCTTTAATATTATAAAGCTAGTAACAGAGTTGGGTTAATACAAAGGTCCTAGACTTCTCATTCTGGAAGCTGTCTACTTTTTTTTTGGAGGAAGGGAGAGGGGACTGACCAGGGAGACACTTAAGAATCATACCATAAAAATAGGTCTCTAAGTGGACAATGATTTTACACTAATGGAGTTGATCATCAAATCAGTATGCTTTAGCGTTAGCAGAGAGGTCTTTCTAGCCATGGTCCCATTAGAAGCTTCAACAACATCCCCAGCAAGGAACTTCTGCTGTGACACATCCATATCCTGGGAACTCTCTTCTTGCCAAGACAGTCTATTTCATCTTCTGACAGTTTTGACCACTACAAAGTTCTTTTTGGTATTTTAACATCATTTCTCTCCTTTTAAGTTTCACATTGTTTCTTTTTCTACCCCCTTGAGACCACAAAAAAAAATCTAATCCCTCTTCCATGTGGCACTTGATATATATATATGAAGACAGCTATCATGACTGCCCCCTGAATTGAGTTGTCCATTTTCCAAGCTAATAGTCCCAAGTCCTTAAAACTTTCTTCCTAGGAACCATTGTTGATTCTTGGTCTCTCAAACCCTGCCTATTGTCTTTGTGGATGTGCTCCTTGATGTGTGATATACAGAGCAGGTGGGAGCTGAGGCAGTGTGCAGAACAGCATGACCATGGCTCCTTGATACAATATTTCTATTAATGCAGCTTGAGATAGAGCATGTTTTTTTGGCAGTCACTTTGTTACAAATCACTCTGCTGACCCATATTGTGCTTATTCTCAAAAACAAAAAACGTTTTTAAAACGTGGGCTGTTAAGCCGTGTCTTCTCCATTGTGTATTGTATCATTTATTTGGGACATATTGAGGCATACGCCTTTTTAACCTTGGTATTGTACAGTGATTAAGAGCTGAGTTTTTGGAGTTATACCAAGATGGGTCAGTATTTGGATCCAATACTTACTAACTTTGTAAACTTGGACAAATTATATAACTTCCCTTTGCTTCAGTTCCTCATGTAAAAAAGAGGTAATAATAATGTACCTTATAAGGTTATTACAATAATTAAGTAATATATGTAAAATACTTAAAACAGTGCTTGTCATGTACGAAGTACACAAAGTAGAGTTTTCCTTTCTCTTTTTTTTTTTTTTAAGCCGGTGAGATTCAGCCCATAATTCCACTTTGCCAACATCTTTTTGTATGCGATCATTTTATTCAACACATTTGCTATTGATCTCAGCATCTTGGTTCATTCACAAATTTCATGGCTTCTTTACGTTTTTCCAAGTTGTTTTTAAAAGCATTGTCCAAGGCAGAACCAAAAAGCACCCACCTCCCAATATATTGGTTAACATTGATTTATTAACCAGCACTCCCATGGCCACAGTTGTTGAGCCATGATAGAGTCGCCTATTTTCACCTAAATTTTTATTATTTAAACCTAAAGAAATTTATAGAGAATAATATAATGTAGCGGCCACCTAGGAGCTTTATTACTACTTAACATGTTATTATACTGCCTCAGATTTATTTATAAGAGGTAAAACATTGCACATTCAGTTGAAATCACCTTCCCTGGTCCAGTCCTCTTCCACTTTTCCCCAGAGGTGACCATTATTGTATAATTTCACTCTCATCCTATCCATATTTTTTGCAGTTCATTTATAAAAATACTTGATGTAGCTTTATCAAAAAGGGTTTATGAAATTTGCATTTACTAATATTATCAGAGAGTTCTTTGATAAGTGGGGTATTTAATAATGCTGGTTAATTAAAATAAAAAAAAGAAATTATAGAAGGATATGGGGTAGCTCCTAGAAATAAAGAAGAAGCTAGAGAATGAGATCTCAGAAAGCCCAAAAACAGTGTCACCTCCAGGTATTGACATCATTTTAGGTTAGAATATCTTCATTATGATGAATTTGCTCAAACTTTGTTCCATGCATTTATCATGCCACTAAAGAGAGTGGGAGAGTGGCTTCGCCATGTTTGGTGCTTACCCTTTGGCTAGGGTAGTAGAGGACACTTTGCTTGCTTACCTGGTGTGGGGAGGAGGTGCGGTGAGGGAGGAGGCAAGAAGTCGAGTTAGGACAGAAATATTTAGAGGGATACAATGTATTGGTAACATTATGGTTATTGGTGGATTCACAGATGTTCATTTTATAAGGAATATAAATGTTAGATTATTTTTGTGATATGTATCAAATATTTTTAAAAATAAACTTTAACAAAACAATAGAAAAAAAAAACATTGCATGCAAAGAAGGTTTTTTGGTTACCGGTGTAAAAGTAGAGAACTAGTAAGACAGGAAGGCAAATAGATACCAGACAGGTGGAAACGAGAAATCTATAACATCCCCAACAGCCACCATGCAACTGAGCTATCGTTTATTAACCCTGTTACAAAAGAAATATAAATTTAGGCTAGTCTTGGTGACACTGTGCTGGCTTCTAGAGATTATGTCATCCTTTTCTAAGTATGCACAGGTCTTTCCTTCACTTGCCTATCAGATTTCATTTAATTTCAAGGGCCACAAAGCTACTCAGATAAGCCTTAAAAAGGGGGAAATTAATTGTACAGCTCTTGGGGGTTTCTCACAGAATTCAAGAGCTTTAAAGATAACTAAGCATGGAAACAAAAGCACACACCTCTATGTCACTAGGTGTCAGTGTCATCAGGTGAAGGGCAAGGATTCACCTGTAATGGAGGGCTGCTCTTTTGGTGTTTGTAGGCAGAAACAGTCTTCTAAAGTGATCATGGGAATGGGAGGATGTAATGGGCATTCTACTACATATCACTTTCTAGAATCTTATCTAGGCTCAATGTCTCTTTTACCGTCCTATGATTTCCAGAATTCACCTTTTCCCCCTCAACCCCAAGACATTTAACTAGAATTACTCAGAATGTTTATGGTCTGAACTTACATCTGCAAATATTCAGAAATAAATTATTTCTTAATATGTTTATTTATTTGTTATATTCATTGACTTGTTCTGGAAAGGATTTTTGTTGGAGTTCAACAGTTCAATCTTAACTGCATATTTTCTTAAGACCCTCAGGTATCATTCAAGAGTGTAGGAAATCTGAACTCATTTTGAGTGTCTAGGTGGTCTCAAAAATTTTTAAACGCTTTAACTTCCTATTATATTCCACAGTCATCTACTCAAACTAGCTGAAGAAAAAGGAGGATTTATTAGAATCATTATACAGGTAAGGTTACAGCAAGAAACAAGTAATTGAAAGCTATAACTGAAACCCCAAATGAAGTGAGATTTTCAGGGCTTGGAGACAGGAGATAGGCGATAGGCCAGGAGCATTGTCTGAAGGTGCAGTTGCAATACAGGAAGTACAGTTGGCGAGAAAGTCTGCTTTTTCCTGCAGTAGGATGGGACATACAATTGAGAAGTTAACTAAAACAATGATGTTTTGAGGTAAAGGGGCTAAAACTAAGGGGGGGGAGTTAAATGATGTTATTGTATGAATTCCCCTCTATGCTCACCCCCACCTATATGAGTTACTGACAAAAAGCAAATGTGTTGCAAGTGGCCTACCAGAAAGAACAAGCCTTATTTTTTCTTTTTTTCTTTTTTTTTTTAAGAGAGGGTCTTACGCTGTCACCCAGGCTGTAGTACAGTGGTGTCATCATAGCTCACTGCAGTCTCAACCTCCCAGACTCAAGTGATCTGTGATCCTCCCACCTCAGCCTCCTAAGTAGCTGAGACCACAAGTGCACACCACCACACTCCGCTAATTTTTAAATATTTTGTAGTGATGAGGTCTCACTGATCAGGCTGATCTCGAACTCCTGGGCTCAAGTGATCCGCCTCAGCCTTTCAGAGTACGGGATTACAGGTGTGAGCCATAACACCAGCCAAGGACAAGCTTTAAAAAGAACAATGTGACAGTGCTCCAAAAGGAGGCATTAAATACTATTCCTGAAATTAGGCTGAAGTCCCTTTACAATGGAAGAATGGACTCCAGGACTTAGAAGTACTGAGCTATTTGGAAAGAGATATTTTCCTTTTCCATCATCTGACACTTTTCTTTAAACACCATCTTCTTCCTTCAAAAACAAAACTAACCTGTTGGATTGCTAAAGTTCTCTTTCCAACTATCAGATTGATACAAATTTGTTAAAGTGCTGACCTATGGCCAGTGCCATTGAACAGAGGAAAAATAAAATGAATAATTTTGCCTGTCACAATATAGAAGGAAGGAGGAAAGGAAGAAAGAAGTAAATAAAGAGGACTGTGACCTGAGTAGGAGAAGAGGGAGAGGAAATAATATTAAGTAATATTAAGGAAACCTTTTGCTGAATATACAACTCTGAATTAAGAGAAGCAAGAGATCTCCTGAGGCCCCTGCAGCAACAGCTGGGACATATCACCAGGTGGAGAAATAGGGGTCTTCATGCCCGCTAAGTTCCCATCTCCTCTATTTTAATCTTATTTATTTATTGAGACATGTTCTCACTCTGTTGCCCAGGCTGGAGTGCAGTGATGTGATCTTAGCTCACTGCAACCTCCACCTCCCAGGTTCAAGCAATTCTTGTGCCTCATCCTCCTCAGTAGCTGGGACTACAGGCATGTACCACCACGCCCAGCCAATTTTTTTTGGCGGGGGGTAGAGATGAGGTTTCCCTGTGTTGGCCAGGCTGGTCCTGAACTCCTGTTCTCAAGTGATCCACCACCTCAGCCTCCCAAAGTGCTAAGATTACAGATGAGAGCCACCGTGCCCAGACCCCCATCTACTCTAGACATGACCAAGTCCATAGCTGCAGCAGAGTCAAGGCCCCCTGTGGCCATCCTGACTTAGTGTGTGTCTTCCTTCTAAACCTTAATTGCTGAGTAGAGTCCCATTCCTTCTCCTCTCCAGTCATACTTTGTTCAGAGGAGAAAGGCAAGCAGCAGAAAGCACCTCCACCCCATCTAGGCTTCCCTTCCTAATTTGGAGGCTATATCTGCTCTCCCAGCCTTCATTGACTGGAAATTACCTCTATCACTCCAGCAGGAGGAGAGCTAGCAATTCAGAAGGGCTCTCCAAAGTGTGAATGGAGAAGAGCTGGTCTAAGGACTTGGTGATCATCTGAGAAAACAGTGACTCTTCAATCCTGAGTGAAGTAAAGAAGAAAGAGGCACCCAATAATTCTCGAACTATTATTATGGTGAGCATAGAAGAAAGAACCAAGCTCTAGAAGTCACTAAATTGTATGGGTCGTTTACTTATTAATTCATTCAACAACATTTATGACCTGGCTTCCCTGTGCCAGGTACTATGATTATTGTAAGAGACAACAAACAGATCCCTGTGCTAATGGAGCTTATGGTCTAGTAGCAGAGGCAGCTGTAATATCCAAAATAACACAAAATACTCCTCAGAATCAGGGATGGAGGCAGAGCAGACCAGCTTGCAATGCTAGAGGAATATGAAAGTGGAAGAGCAAACCTCAGGACCTGAGGGTGCTAAGGTTTGTTTTAAAGAGTAAAGTGGTTTTCTTTAGTCAGCTAAGGAAAAAAAAAAAGCTGGATTATAGGATCTTTAGGTTTTTAGTTTGGCTTTATATTCTAAGTGAAAGAAAATTCCATGTTGGGATGTGTCCTTTTTGATTTGTGTGGTCACTGTTATTCTTTTTAAACTCTTTGGTTTGTGTGTAGTAGTAAGTGGTTGGGAGAGATTATTTTGCTTGCCTCAGAAATTTCTGTAGGAGGCTAAATGTATTAGGAATATTCAGCAAAAAAATGTAAGTGTTAGTGGTTATAAGAAAATATGTCAGAAAATACTACACATTGGAGGTTTCAGGTGGCAGCTACACAGAACAAAAAATAGTTCATGTGCTGGCAACAGGAATGACTATTTCCATAGTTAAAGCATGTCTGGTAAGAATGGCAAACACTAGATATTGATGTAGATTTTAGTTTTTATTTATATTTTGGAGAGGCATAATTACATTTTGATTTTATGTCATTTCTTGTGGAATAGACCTGTTATTCTACTGGGATTGTGTATCCTCAGTAAGCTATGCAATTTGTATTGATATTTGCTTTATCTGTACATGTTCATAGGGTGTGTATGAACTAAGGCTCCCAGTGGAGGCAGAATTACTTAGAGCTTAAAAGCTGGTGCTTCTGGAGTCAGAAAGATCTGGATTCAAACACCAGCTCTGTCATACTACTGACATGACCTTGACCAAGCTTCTTAATTCTGCCAAGGCTTTGGCCTCAGTTTCCTAAACTGTAAAATGGGAATTTTAACGGTTCCTACCCTTAAGGGTTATTATGAGAAATAAGATGATGCATATAAAAACAGTCACTGACAATAAATAATAGCTGTTAAGTGTGGCTTGTGATATAGAGTGATGTTTAGTGCCCAGTGATAGGGAGCCCTGGATAATAAATAGAAATTTTATCTTCTAATTATAATAATTAAAATGCTTGAGAGATTTGGGAGGGCCATTCTTTGAAGATTGCTAAAAATTTAATATGGTGGCAGAGTATTATACAATGGATGAGATGAACTAAATATTTACTTATGTTTTCTTTACAAAAGATAGTGGTATTCCCAATTATTTAGGTAACACTGGAGAAATCCAGAGTATTTATGTATTTTTTACTTGACTTATTTAGCTTTTTGTTTGTTTTTTTGTTTTGAGACAGGGTCTCACTCTGCTGCCCAGGCTAGATTGCAGTGGCATGATCTTGGCTCATACAGCCTCAACCTCCTGGGCTCAAGCAATCCTCCTACCTCAGCCTCCCAAGTAGCTGGGACTACAGGCATGTACCACCATGCTCAGCTAATTAAAAAAAAAAAATTGTATGGTCTGGGTTTCACCATGTTGCCTAGGCTAGTCTGGAATGCCTGGGCTCAAGTGATCTGCCCACCTCAGACTCCCAAAGTGATGGGATTACAGGCGTGAGCCAACATGCCTGGGCTTATTTAGCTTTCTTAATATGTGTCTAGTAGAAGAAGATCTCATTTTTAGCTCCAAATTTTCATTGCATCCTTAGTATCATATAGCCTTATGATAGCATTTTTCAAAGTGTGGTTCACTAGAATCATGGAGGTGACTTGTTAAAAGCTCTAATTCCTGGCCGTGATGTGGCAAGTATCTGAATTTTAAATAAATGCCCAATCCAGCTGATTTTTATGAACATCTAAGCTTCAGAATGACTAGACCACACAAATTATGGTGTTCCACAAATAAGCTATACTCCTGAAGCTCGGTCAGGTTGTGCTTATTACTTAAATAGTAACTTGGGTGATATATTTATGTGGCATACCCTGACACCTTCACAGAACATAAACTTTTTTGTACTTTATGCCTTAACAACCCCTTCCAAATCACTTGATTAATAATGATTAACTTTCTCTTCTAGCCTTGAGAAACAATTGTCTTTCTCTGCTTTTTCTGGTAACAGCTAAATTGTTAAGCTTATCCTTTTTACTAAAGAGCAGGACTCGGCTGTGCACCTGGCTCACGCCTATAATCACAGCACTTTGGGAGGTCAAGTCACTTCAGCCTGGGCAACAGAGCAAGATTCTGTTCAAAAACAAAACAAAAACAAACAAACAAACAAACAAACAAATACAGTAGGGCTGGACGGCCGAGTGCAGTGGCTCACACCTGTAATCCCAATAATTTGGGAGGCTGAAGTGGGAGAATCACTTGAGCTCAGGGGTTCAAGACTATCCTGGGCAACATGATGGAACTTCATCTCTACAAAAAATACAGTACAATTAGCCAGGCGTGGTGGTGTGCACCTGTAGTCTTAGCTACTTGGGAGGCTGAGACAGGAGGATAGCTTGAACCCAGGAGGTCAAGGCTGCAATTCGCCAAAATCACGCCGCTGCACTCCAGCCTCTGTGACAGAGCAAGACTCTGTCCCCCCAACACCCCCCATACCAAAAATAAGAAGAATAGGGCTGGGGATGAAGCAAAAGTTAATAGTTGTGTGATTGGTATCCATAGAGAACCCGTGGCTTATTCCAGCCTCTTCATGGTTGAACTTGTTAAAGCTGGTCTTTCTCTCCCCCATCCCTGTCCCTAAAGTCTCATACATCCCTGGCATACCAAGCCTTATGTCCCTGACCCTTCCTGTCCTGTTCACTGCTCCAGATCCATTTTGATCTCTGATTGCTATCTGATTCTGTTTCTAGAAATTTGTTAACCATGAAAGTGGTAAAACATATTTTAATAAGTTCCAGTTTATAAATGGAGAAGAAATATATGTGTAGAAGTGCCAGTGTGAGTCGAGGGCAAGGAGGAGAAAGGGAAAAATGCCTATGAATTCAGGGAAATAATCTCTACCTTTATATTGCCTGACCCTTAGGTAGTTACAGGCAAAGACAGGTGAGCCACGGAGGTACATCTGATGCTGCCTCAGCATGTTGAATCTGCAAGTATGTAGCCTGCTAAGCCATTTTCTACTGCTGAGGCAACTTGACACATTTTGATATTTGAAGTTCCCTGGTTTAGAGGATTGATAGGTGGGGAAAACAATGCTAATTGCCTTTTGATTAAAGATGTTTTTAGGAAATCCTTCTAGCTTTAATGGAAGTAACATTCTTTATATGGTAAATTTGGAGATTGCAATTCAGGAAAGCAAAATCTCTTCAGCATGAATCTACAATGAAAGATGACACCTGTCCGATGAAAGATACCTGTCCATTTATAAACTTTAATAAAATCAGGCCCATATGCTGAGATGGCTCCCACTAGTACTGTCTGGGCCACAGGGGTGGCCTTATAGTCTGTTACAGAGCAGTAGTTATACACATAGCCTTTGAAGTCAAATAAATGTGGGTTTTGAATCCTGGCTTCACTGCTCACCAGTTAAGTGAACTTAGACAAGTTATCTACTCTCAGTTTCATAAACTGTAAAATGAGAATAATAATAGCTGTGTGAGAAAAATAAGGTAATGGGCATAAAGCCTGTAGTATTTTCCCTAGCATGTAGCGGTACTCAATTGTTCACCTTTGTTGTCTTCTTATGATTCTATTGTCCCACTCTTTTTGCGCACCTTGTCCAAATCTTTCCAAATGTAACCATGTAACATGTCAAGATGTTCCTAATTCCCTATTCTTCATTTTCTCAAATTCATTATTAAGTCAACAAATATTTCCTGAACACCTATTATGTGCAAGACACTATTCTGCCTACTTAAGTCACAGAACAAAACAGACAAAAATCCTTGTCATCATGGAGTTTACACCCTAGTTAGCGGGAGAAATACAACAGATAAGAAACATAGCAAATAAGTTACATAGTATGCTAAATGGGATTAGTATTGTGGGAAAAAAAGTAGAGTAGGATTATACATGGAGACTGAGTGTGGCGGTGGAGGTTTCATCCAGTTTCAAATGTAATGGTCAGGATAGGCCTCACTGAGTTGCTTAAACATAGAGGGAATGGGAAATACCTTTTTTTGTGAAATTATGCAGAGCTCAGTATACTTGGGAAATTTTAGGCAAAAGTAAGGGGCTAGAATGCCTAAATCAACTGGGAAGTCATGCCTTAATTTCTCAAATGCAACAGAAAATTAGCATAAGGAAGCTTGGTGGTACTTGCCCATTGGGTAGTACCCATTTTCTGTTTGTTTTCCGTTTCTGATCTCACTCCCCTCTATTCTCCAAGGTTACAGACTCTTCATCCTTCAACCCCCTCAGTTTCACCTCTCAGGATCTTGAGAGATGGATAATGTTATCATTAAAATTGAGAAATTAGAGCTTCTTATGCTATATCTCTACGTTTTCTGTAATGTAGAGTTTATATAACATAAAACTATGTTTTATATAACAAAGTTAAATCCTTTGCAACTCAGGGATACATACAATTTAACTATAAATTTATGATTAGGTTTAATGTTTGGCAAATTTTATTAAAACAGCAGCACAATTTTTTGTTAGCCTAGTAAAGTAGGAAGAGCACTGCAATGGGATTCAAAGACCAGGAGCTGCTCTAGCCCTGCCACCAGTTGTCCTTTGACAGTTCTGTGCCCAAGACTTTCTCATCTGTAAATTGGGAGTGGGAGAAAGTGTCCCTTCTCCCTGTGTAATTCCACATGTCTTTGAAAAACTCCAAGGAAAGTTTTCTTCTAGAAGCTAAAGCAGGTATAATGTTTAAGACTAATCTCTTGACAATTGCTTTATTGAAAATTGCAATTAATGTGATTTGTCCATTTTTGGATAGGAACAAAAATGGAATGGTATTCATCTACATATTATTTGGGCCTCTTTACTTTTTATGTTGTAAATGAAGGAGATAATTTATTCTTACCACATACTGCTCACCACAATTTTGCCGTGTATGTAGAAATTCAAGGCCTTGTCATCAAATGTTGGCTATCACATACTTAAAATATTCCACTATTTGTGAACTTAAAGAGATTTACAAATGATGCACGCCTCTCAAAGGCTTTTAAACATTATTAGTTTAGTATCAGAAATATGTTATAAGTAAAATGTTTTCATCTTCATTTCATATGGGAAAAATCGAAATGCATACAAGATCCAGTCAAAAAAATCAGTCAGTCTACACTGTAAACCCAGGCCTTTCCTTAATCTTCTAAACCAAGGAATGGCAAACTGCTGCCTGCAGGCTAAATCTGCTTTCTCTTCTCCTCCTTATATATGGCTGCTTTCTTAAGAAGATGGTAGAATTGAGTAATTGCAACAGAGATTGTGTGAGTCACAAAGCCTATAATATTTACTATCTGTTCCTTTACAGAAAAAAAATTGCCATATGGTCTAGACCATATGGATCTCTTTGTTAGGAGACTAAGGAGAACATACCTAGACTCATGGCATTTCGGCTCTGCCTTATTTTACATATACTGGCACATGGTACCATTTTGTAAGAAAACTACACATCTCTCTTGCTTCTTCATTTTCTCCTTTGTGGGCTGGTTACTTGTTTTTAATTGTTATTTGTTCATCCATTCATTTATTCCACAAGTTCTTATGGTGTACATACCTGGGGACAAGTGACTAATAAAATGTAGCTTTATCCAGTTAACTTGTATAGACAAATAACTGACCATTACTATAGGGAGAAGTGCTATCAAGGATTATGACTAGAACAGAAAGGAAAGGTATTTGACTCAGCTGAAGGGGTTTGTGAAGGTGTCTGGGAAAAGTAGATACTTGAGCTGAGGAGAAGAAGAGGATAGGGACCGGGGGAGAAGGGGATATGCATTCCATGTCCCAGCAATATTTTCCAAGGCCCGTATCAGTCAAGGTTCAGTGCAGAAAACAGAAACCAATGTAGTCATCTTAAGACAGAAAGAATAGGCTAAAAGCCATAAGTAATTAGGAAAAAAATCATGAAAGGGCCAAAAGAATGGGCTATAGACTGGCCCACCAGGAATGATTCCCAGAAGACCATAGTACTGTCCTGGAATTATTCAGCCCAAGAATATCTTGCCATCCACCAATGAAGAATCAGGAAGCCATCCTAGATGCTGCCACTGCAACTGCCTCTTAACACTCAGGCTAGAAAATGGACACAGAAACTCTGTTATAGAAAACAGTCTGTGCAAAATTGCTTACCAGTAGAAAAAAAAACAACTAGAAAAAGGCAGGTAGATGGCCTCAACCCCATTTTCAATTTCTGTGTCTTAGAAGAATGCATCTATTTTGTGCATCTGGAACCCTTGCGCAAAAGTTGGGAAAGATAGCTTTCTACCTTCTGCAGCCCAGGAAGGCACCCATGAAGTAATGTGGAGTAGAGGTTGGGCAAGCCAAGCCAAAGAATTTGTCACATATACAAAATCAATGTCACTGTCCATTCAAGGAATTGCAAATAGTTTGGAATGTTGAGCAGTAGTCTCTAGATATTTAAGTATGGATCCCTTCTTAATATCAAAATGTTGAGCCTCCGATGCATATGATAGTAGTTATATTGTAGCAGCCTGTAGTTGAGAAATATATTGCAAACAATTACATTCAGATAAAATTTTACTTTGTTAATCACAATCACAAATATATACATTTAGAAAATGGTAGTGATAACAATAGCTCACATATGCTATATGCATTATATATATTAAGTCCTTTGGTAGTAATGTGTATGTACTCAAACTATATCATTTGTTCAGTCAACAAATAATACATGGGCTACTTACAGATTATAGAACTCTTTTCAGAATACAGAACGAAGGCGTATATTTCATTCTCATCATAGTCCAGTGAAGGGTCTATGTGTGCAGAGGTGATGGTGAGGAGGGAGGCAAAATCTGCTCCATGTGATTATTCAGAGATCCTGGCTTTTCCTTTTTATTGGCTTCACCATGTCCTTGGTCCACTGGATTCTCTTCATTCTTCTGGACTGAAATTAGAGATCTGAAATAGGAGGATGGCCATGCTTAGAAGAAATGTACAACACTTGTGCACACATTCTAACTGGTTAGAACTCAATCATGTGGCCACAACTGAGATGATCAAGAGAACTATAATCTAGCTACAGAATTTGGCAGTATGATTGAAGTGAATCATAAAATTATTTGAGTTTAATTAGACAATTTCTAAATGTAATTGATGTAACAAGAGAAATGTGAACCTGCTCCATTTTCCCTCTCTGCCCCATGTGATTCTTCAGAGATCACGGCCTTTTCCTTTTATTGGGTACACTGTCTCCTAGGACCACTGGATGCTTTACTTCCTTCTGGGCTTAAATTTGAGATCAGAAATAGGAAGATGGCCATGCTTAGAAGAAATGTACAGCATTTGTGCACACATCCTATTGGTTAGAACTCAATCATGTGACCAAAACTGAGTTGATCAAGATAAATATAATCTAGCTACAGAATTTGGCAGTATGATTGAAGTAAATGATAAAATGATTTGAGTTTAATTAGACAATGTCTAAATGTAATTGATATAACAAAGAAATATGAACCACTTCATTACGTTACTGAAGGAATTCTGTGTTCATATCGTATGAGGATTGAGGAGAAATGGAGGGAATAACACATCTATTGAGTCTAGAAATAGGTGAACCAAAGATAAAAAAATTATCACTATTTGCAGCACTGCCTATGAATTGGGGTACTCCACCTGTCCATCCATTAACTATTTACTAATGGCCTGCCATTTGCCAGGCACTGTTCTTGGTGGTGGAATAAAACAACTTATCCTCTCTGCCAGGCAGATGTATCCATAAGATAGAGATGGACCTACCAGATCCTCATAGTGTGAAGGCCCAAGTTTTTATAGCATTCCATGTAATTAACTTTGCTCTGATTCTCTGCTAGCTGAGTGTCTTCTAATTCACTCTTGGACTGTCTTAGATCTCAGGAAGAAAATATGCTGATTCCAGCGTAAGCTTTCTAATCCCCGTGATTCCAGCAACCTGCTTTTTCTCCTTTTCCTCCTTCTCCTTCTTTGTTTTCATCACCACCATCAAGTTCGTCCTTATAGTCACCATTCACTAACTACCAGGCTTTGTACTTTATTTATGTCTTTTAATATTCATGGCAGTTGCATTTTATAGATGCAAGTAGTGAGTCTTAGAGAAATTTAGTAATTTTCCCTCATAGTAAGTAACGGTGACGGTGGATCAGAATCCAGCTCTGTTGACATCATAGCCCAAGTTCTGTCTACCATTATAAAGGAATAAATTTGCATCTAGGTTTATAGGTCAGTCCCTTGAGAATTTAAATAAACACGAATTACTTCCTTGAAATGGTCAAATCTGGATGTATCAACAAAATCAAATTATTGGTCTCACGATAGTTCAGGACCTGCTACTGACCTAGAGAAACTCCTCGAAGGTCATTTGACCCTATGAGGTCTTGCCAAGGCAGTTGCTGGCCACCTCCCTCTGACATTCCTGTTTCTGAATTTTAACTTCAACATTGGTGACCCAATAATTTCATAAACTAATCTGTTTACCAGAGAGTACTATTAGCAAATTTGCATTTTTATAATGAAAGAAACCACTCTCATAAATAAAACCCATACCTTAGACACAAAATTTAGTGAGTTTACCAGATAAAAAGTATATTTGATTCCTTCAACAACAACCATACTGTGTAATTGCAATTATTGAACGAAGATATAATCAGAAAAAGATATTTTTGAATTAAAATGTATTGATAGGAATAAATCACAGTAAATGTGTTTTCTTCTAATGGCAGTTTTATTTTCCCAGAGTGAGAATTTAAAATTGCTTCAATTGCTTCTAAGTTAGTGAATAGGAAAAGTGCTTAAATGGTGATAAAATGCGTAACAAATGTTTAACCAGCATACAAAGGATGACAAAGAAAAGACCAGTTCTGCATGTGTCACAATAAACCATGCAGCTTATGCCACTCCATACTTTCCCAAGCAGTGTGCAACAAGCAAAAGCATCCTATTTTTCCAATCAGTGTACGAGCAAAAGCATCTACTTCATCTTAATCTTTCATGATATTACATATCTTTTTGTAAAACTAACCCTTGCACAATATGTCATTTCTTTTGTTTCACATTATTTCTGTCCCTTTTTATCTTATATTGTCATTTCTGCTGGTTCTTCACTTCTGAATTACATCCTCACATTATAGAAGGAATAAAAACATAGGTCAAAGTGTATCTTTGCGAAATCACTGTAGGAACACTAGAAGAAACAATGAAGGGATAATGTGTTTTTTATATTTTTATACAGTATATAGTAATGATGATGGTTGATCACTGCTGGTCTTTGGAGAAGTGCCATAGTAGATATGTGGTTTTGGTGACAATGACATTCTTCTATTGAACTATACAAACTTGAAAGTCCACCATTCTCAACTGAATTACAATAAAGCCAAGCTTTATCACAAGTAAATATTAGTGATTATCCAACTCAATATCTGTATCCATAGGGTGGACCAGCAGGGCTTGATGACACATCCATCTATTAGCACTTTAATGTGGCAACTACAAATCCTATCTCAAGAAAGTGAAGGAACACTCCCTTGAATGAAGATACTACTGGATTCTACTCCAGGTTTAACTCTGTGACTCTGGAGAATTCATCCCTCCTTCTGAAGGTTCGAATTTTTAATCCATAAAATGGGGGAGTTGGACTAGATGTACAAGATCCCTTCCAGATTTAAAATACTGCAGTTCTACTCCATTGGAGGGTGGAACAGAGGAGTAACTTTCCTTTTTAAAATTGGTTAGGACCCACATGCGTGGCTCGTGTCTGTAATTCCAGCAACTGGGGAGGCTGAGGTAGGAGGATAGCTTAAGGCCAGGAGTTTGAGACCAGACTTGGCAGCACAGTGAGACCCTATCTCTACAAAAAAATAAAAAATTATTAGCCGGGCATGGTGGCACACACCTGTAGTCCTAGCTACTACAGAACAGGTTGAGCCCAGGAGTTCGAGGTTATAGTGAGCTATGATTGTGCCACTGTACTCCAGCTTGGATGACAGAGCGAAACCCTGTCTCTAAAAAAATAATAAAAATAAATAAAAATTGATTAGTAACATCATACGTGAAGTGATATTTAGAAAATAGTCACAATCTATATGGTTGCAGTACAAGTATCATGAATATGAATGTTCTTAGTAAAAACGATTGCATTTCCTTCTGTCCTGTAAACCAGTTTTTTTTTTTTTTATTATACTTTAAGTTCTAGGGTACATGTGCACAATGCGCAGGTTTGTTATATATGTATACATGTGCCATGTCGGTGTGCTGCACCCATTAACTCGTCATTTACATTAGGTATATCTCCTAATGCTATCCCTCCCCCCTCCCCCCACCCCACGACAGGCCCTGGTGTGTGATGTTCCCCTTCCTGTGTCCAAGTGTTCTCATTGTTCAGTTCCCACCTATGAGTGAGAACATGCGATGTTTGGTTTTTTGTCCTTGCGATAGTTTGCTGAGAATGATGGTTTCCAGCTTCATCCATGTCCCTACAAAGGACATGATCTCATCCTTTTTATGGCTGCGTAGTATTCCATGGTGTATATGTGCCACATTTTTCTTAATCCAATCTATCATTGATAGACATTTGGGTTGGTTCCAAGTCTTTGCTATTGTGAATAGTGCTGCAATGAACATATGTGTGCATGTGTCTTTATACCAGCATGATTTATAATCCTTTGGGTATATACCCAGTAATGGGATTGCTGGGTCAAATGGTATTTCTAGTTCTAGATCCTTGAGGAATCGCCACACTGTCTTCCACAATGGTGGAACTACTGTAAACCAGTTTAGACTTGAGCCTGAGGCATTGTGCCTCCAGACTCGTGAAAGATTTAGTCTGTGATCATTAGGACTCACTATTCCTGAAAGGGTTCACACGAAATTGCCAGATTCTCTTGAAATCACAGAGCTCCTGGGAAGCCAATCTGATTACGCTAGGAGCAACCCTAGTTTCCACTAGAACCTATGCCAGCCCCTGAGCACCTGCTGTCTCAGGAGTTCTGATGATTTGGTGGCACTGCCGGGGCAAGACAAGTCTGTGTCTGGAACTCATCCCTGCCATGTACTCCAATCTAGGGCCACCTGCCCCAGAGTTATGTTTTCCTTCTACCCCTGACCTCTCCCTAGGCAAGAGAACAGCCCTTATTTTTCCCTCTTTAAAACTTCAAAGGGTCTTTCTTTTCTCTCCTCACTCTGTGGGATAGCTTGCATAAACTCTTCGGTAAGTTTAGATTTGTATCCAAGTTGAGAAGAAAATTTGTTTCACATAGCCTCTACTTGGCCATGCAAATACCTCCGAAGAAAGGAAATATAAAATCTTGAGGCTAACATCTGGGATTGAGCACAGACCAAAACACAAATTAATATTTTAATAAATTCTTCTGCCACACTAGCAACTAATTAAAAATGTAATCATGTTTAAGGGGAAATGCATTATTTATGTTTATTTATATTGTAATGTTTAAAATAACAGCTTTATTGAGATAGAATTTCTTTACCATACAATTAACCTGTTTAATGTGCATGTGTTTATTTTTAATAGAGTTTGAATAAAGGCAAGTTTAATTAGAGGGGATAGCTGGAGAAATTTATGGATGTTTTAAAGGGGACTTCTGAATACCTTCAAAGATTTAGGAGGTTAATGGTGCTGGCATTTTTGTTATATAAAATTTCAATAAAATATTTTATGTTATAGGATGTTATAGGGCATATAATGGCACAAAAAGTTTTTATACTATAATGTTAATTAAAAAGAGCAGGCTACAAAATTGTAGATAAAATATGACCATACCAGCCAGGTGTGGTGGCTCACACTTGTAATCCCAGTACTTCTGGAGGCCAAGGTGCATGGATCATTTGAGGTCAGGAGTTCGAGACCAGCCTGGCCAACATGGTGAAACCCTGTCTTTACTAAAAATATAAAAATTAGCTGGGTGGTAGTGGCATACGCCTGTAATCCCAGCTACTTGAGAGGCTGAGGCAGGAGAATCCCTTGAGCCTGAGAGGCGGAGGTTGTGGTGAGCCCAGATCAGGCCACTGCACTTCAGTCTGGGCGATAGAGTCAGACCCTGTCTCAAAAAAAAAAAAAGAAAGAAAAAGAAAATGACCATGCCTATAAAAAATATGCAGATTAAAAAACAGGAAGAAAAAATGGCTCAATTTGGATGGTCAGACTTAGGGTAACTTTTATTATTCATTATTTATTTATTTATTTATTTTGGAGAGAAGGCCTTACGCTGTCACTCAGAGTGGAGCACAGTGGTGCATCACAGGTCATTGCAACCTCTGCCTCCCGGGCTCAAGCGGTTCTCCTGCTTCAGCCTCCCAAGTAGCTGGGACTACAGGCATGTACCACCATGCCCAGCTAATTTTTGTATTTTTAGTAGAGATGGGGTTTCGCCATGTTGCCATGTTGCCCAGGCTGGTCTTGAACTCCTGACCTCAAGCGATCCACCCTCCATGGCCTCCTAAAGTACTGGGATTACAAGTGTGAGCCAGTGCACTCAGCCAATTTTTGTATATTATTTCACTCTTCAACTAGAATGTGTACTTTTAGAATGAGGGGAAAAAAGCTTTATTTATGAAACTTTGGTTTTTCTCCTTTTCTGGAAACATATATTATGAACACTGTTTATCAGGCCTGACTTGGGTGATTTGGGGAGATCATAAATGATGACAATAAGCTGCATTCATACATTGCTTTACAGTCTACAAATTTCATTCAAGAATATTGTCTCATTTAACCAAGCAAAGAGGTGGAGATTTTACAGCGGCAATTGTCAAAAGTTGAGGAAGCTAAGGAAATCAGAAGGGCGTCTAAGAGAATCTCTGCATGTAAGCAGTTATCTCTGGTGGAAAAGAACTGTAGCCTCAGTTGATGAAAGCACAAGGGCATTGAGAATGAGAAGAGCACAGAAAAATTCCACAGGGCTATCACTAACCTGAGAAAGAAAGAAGGGGGTTTCTGGGCATGCGACTTCTATGCATGATATTTCTTTGTCTTTCTTTAGTGTTATCAGCTCAGGTTAGTGGTTGTCTGTGGAGGCATCATTCAAAGGAGGAAGAAGAGCAGTGAGGAGTAAAGAATCCCCTTTCAGAGTGAGTGAGTGCGTGTGAGGGAACAAAGGAAACCACTAAATGCAGTATGTGGCCTTATGCCTGGGGCGTTTGTCAATCAGTTATTTGTCACTCTGAAGACACCTCGCTTTGAAATAATAGGGGAGTATGTGAGACTGGTTTAGGTAAAATATATATCATATAATTTTAAGAGAAATGGAATTTATTTCTTCCAGTATAATGACTAGATCATATTGACAGCAGTAACATGAGGTGAATGAAAAAAAAAATTCCTGACGGACCCATATTTTACTTTAATATTATAAACACTTTATTTAATATACATACTTTGACATAATTGTTGGCTCCTAAATGTAAATACATTTCTTTATTTTTATGTTACAGGTACCTTATAAGCAAGGTTATGAACATACAGAGGGAAAAACATATCACCTATTTTACCCAACAATAATTGCTTATTTTATCAGAATCATCATTAAGTTAAATTATTATGGATTATATTTTTTGTACATAGGACTTTTTAAATAACCACTGCTATCTTTATCAGAATTTTTAGTACTCTGAAACCACTTGGATTGAAGGAATGTTTTTCAGTGTCAAACCCTGGCAAGCATTTGAAAGATGCCTGAATGCCATAACCTCAATGTAATGTTATTGCCAGAAGTGAAATAGAATATAGACTGAAACACAGAAGCACAGTGCACTGGAATATATAACCTCTGCCTTCAGCACAGCCAGAGTTTGGAAAGCTCCAGATTCTGATCTGCTGCAAAATTTTTGGCATGAGAAATTCTATCAGTTCTCTCCAAGCTCAGCTGGAGTTCAGCCTCCTCAAGGAACCTGCCCTCCGCAGACCCAAACACTTCAGCCTGTAGTGACTTTGTGCTCATTTGAATGTATCACTCCTATAAAGTGTGTCTGTAGGTTGACAGTTGTATAATAACAGGCCCTTGTCACATCCCCTTGACCCACCTCTGATTTCAAATGCAGCTGTGGTGGAAGGGTCCATGTACGTTCAGACTCACCTCACTCAGTGGGCAGCCCACCTCACCCTCTTCAATTGCATTTGCTCAAGGGGCTTTCTCCAATATCAGGGAACTTGAAGGATCTATGAACAAGCTCAGCCTGGAATTGTGGGTGATTTATCATCCCTGTGGAAAACTCTTCATCAGTGGGGTATGGGAACCAGTGGATAAATGCTTTCACTTTCTGTTTTTCAGGTGGGTACTTCTGTTCTGAATGCTTTGTAGAAAGTAGCCCCGAGTGCCCACAGTACTGACCCATGACAGACACTCGCATATTGGCTTTTCCTCATGCATTCTCCCTATTCTCTCACTCCTGCCTCCTGGGTCCACCTCCAAAATAGATTGACTGACTCAAGTCTTTGTCTCAGGTTCTGCCTTGGGAGAAATCCAAACACAATGGTTATGGACTGCTTTGCATTGCTCTTGTAATTTTGCTAAGTCAATATTTAAAGCCTTATTTGTGTGTGTCTTGCTTGGACAACTAGATTGTGGTCTGCGAAGGATAGCAAGAGTTTTTTATACATTGTATCATCCCCACTAGTACCTAGAGTACTGTTTTGCCCATGACAAATTTCCATTATTAATAGAAAGTATTTGTAAAATAAGCAGCTGTAGAGGTAGTATCAATCCCTTTGAGAATTCTGGTCACCTGACACCCAGATTATTGTAAAAGCACTGAAGGTAATGTTCATCTGCATGAGTTTAGGGAATGGACATTTGACATTCTTTATGTCTACCCAGCATCCGGACCCCTTACTCATAAGATGAGTAACCCTTATCTTAACACTGAAAATACCAGCAGCTCAATTTCTGAGTCTCCCCTGCAGCTGTCATAAAGTCTACCATTCATATCTACCTGCTTTGGACCCTGAGTCAAAGTAAGGATGCGAAAAAGCAGGGACCACTCAGAATCCATCCTGGGGTGGTGGCAGTTGCAGTGGTAGCCGTGTCATGTGGACAGTTTTTAAAATTAAAAATTAAGGTTTTTTGTTTGTTTGTTTGAGACCGAGTTTCACTCTTGTCACCCAGCTGGAGTGCCATGGCACAGTCTTGGCTCACTGCAACCTCCACCTCCCAGGTTCCAGTGATTCTCCTGCCTCAGTCTCCCGAGTAACTGGGATTACAGGTGGCTGCCACCACACCCGACTAATTAAGGGTTTTTTTTTTCTAAGTAATTTAGCTAGGGTGGCAGTTTTTTCCAATACTATGATCGGGTCTATATTTCATATTTTCAAAGAGTCTTGAGGGCAATTATTTTGAGTCGCTGGCTGGAAATGTATAGCAAGCTCCCAGAGAGGGAGGGGAAGACCCAAAATCTCCTGAAGATTTCTAATACAGCCCATGAAGGCATGTGTCATACCCAAGGAGAACACTTCAGGAACCTCCTTCATCCTCATATAACCCACCCCAAGGACTCTGGATGTGTGAGGTATTGGCTGAGAGGACAAAAGTGCAAGATGGCCATCTTTTGTGATAAGCAAGAAAAGGAAAATGCATTGCAAGCCAGAAGAATGGGGTAGGAAGGGGCACTTTGTAAAGTTACCATTTCCTACAACTCCCCTGGAATTGCTGCCAGATATTTCACAAGCATAAAACACACACGTACATGCACACACACACTCCTACACCTTCAACAAAGACAGTATTTAAAATTCAAAAGACTATTACATGCCCACGAAATTTTCCTACCAAGCTAGAAAAATTCATTTTAGCAGACAGAATTTACTCACATGTTGACAAGAATAATTTCTTTAATGAAAATCATAAATAATAATATACTTATAAAGGCTAGGCCATTATAGATACTATACACTTCATCAGGCAATCATAAAACAAATAAAGCAAAACCATATTTATCATTAAGTTGTTTTAAAAAGTCACATGACTCAGTTTCTCCAAATTTCCATCCCTCCAAAAATGCCTGGTATTTTTAAAGATCTTGCAAATATATTAAGGTTAACTTTCAGATTATAGTTAGTACATTATTACATTTTTAGAAAAAAATAGTCCTACTCTATCATGTGGTACACTAGAGCTGAGATAACAAAATACCCAGGAGTGAATTTAAAAAGGTAAAATAGAGGTGACTCTGATGTCAGGATGAGGAGGAACTTGCTTAACATAAAATCAATGTAAGAAACTCTAAGGAAAGGACTAATTATGTAATCAATACATAATCAAGATACTTGACTATATAAAAATATAAAACTTGGCCAGGCACGGTGGCTCATGCCTGTAATCCCAGCACTTTGGGAGGCCGAGGCAGGTGGATCACCTGAGGTCAGGAGTTCAAGACCAGCCTGGCTAACATGGTGAAACCCCGTTTATACTACAAATACAAAAAGTAGCTGGGCATGGTGGTGCACACCTGTAATCCCAGCTACTCAGGAGGCTGAGGCAGGAGAATTGCTTGAACCCAGGAGATGGATGTTGCAGCGAGTCGAGATCATGCCATTGCACACCAGCTTGGGCGACAAAAGCAAAACTCCATTTCAAAAAATAAATAAATAAATAAAAACTTTACAAACCTATCATAAAACTAAAATGAAAATTTAAAAAATTTTTCAAAATACATGAAAATTGGTTAATAGCCATAATATATAAACAACACTTAAAAATTAAAATCTGTTGATCCCAGTTTTTATAAAACAGAGTATGTACAAAATAAATAGATGCTTAATATCAAAAGGAATACAGAGAACTATGGAAACATACACAACAGTTACTAAAAATAAATACAGATGGAAGTAAATAGTATTTTCAACAACTAAATTGGCAATTTTCCCCCAAACTATTTTGTTGTTGAGTATGCATTGAAATGCTATTCTCATGTTGGAGTACAAATTGGTACATGGTTTCTGGAAGGAAATTTGGCAGTAGTTTAAAAAAACCATAGAAATACTTATATGCTTTGATCCAATATGTCCTCCCACAAATTTCTTTTAAGGAAACAGTAAAAGGTATGAATAAGTATTTGTAAGAATGTTTATTTTAATAATATTTTAATTGCAAAAATTTAAAACATAAATGTTCAAATAATTTGATAAATTATTGATGTTTATTCATAGAATATTATTCAGCCAATAAAAACATGTTTTGCAAAGAGTATTTAATAGGAAAATACTCACAACATTACATTGATGGAAACAACAGGATAAAAAGCTACATATATAGTTTTTTTTCTATTGCAGTTTTTACAATGTTTACAGGAAAAGTGCTGAAAATAATTATATGAAAATATTAATAGTTTTATCTCTGGCTAATAGGATTTTGAATAATTTTTATTTTTAAAATGCTTTTTGTGTTCTTCAAATAATGCTACAATTAATTATAATATTTGGAAAATCAAATCTTGTTATTAAAAGAGTAATTCTTCAGTTATTTTTCCCACATGAAATAACACATTTAGTAGCATTATCTGCCTTCTTCAACTGTACTAAGGAAGTAGGAGCAAATATTCATTTAGTCTGTTTTAAGAACTTTAGAATTAGATAGAGCAGGTGTTAATGATCCCAGTTAGAGGAGAAAGAAATTGAAGATTAGAGAGACTACATGATTTGCCAGTATTCAGTTAGTTCAACAGTGTATTTTATTTTTTGGAGCATATAGTAATTACTGTGAATTAGATTAGGCATTTAGGCATTAAGGATGAAAGATTAAAAATTGTTGCCAAGAATGTGCAACCTTATAGTAGGTGACATTATTTCAAAAATTGATATTTTCAATTAGTGAGAGAAGTGCTGGTAGAGGTATGCATTGGAAACTACAGAGAAAATACTAGTTTGAACCACTTGAAATTGTCAATAGTCAACTATTTTTGACCTACAAAAATGGCACTTTTATGTAATTCATTCTGATACACCTAAATCAGAATGGTAGTAATAGTTGAGATGAATCTTGCTGAGGAAGGAGGATATACCAGACGAAGGTATGTTCATGAGTCAGGTTCAAATCAGGAGACAAAAAAAAAGAAATGCAATAAATTGAACATAGAGAGTTTAATATGAAGAATGATTAACTACAACAGGGGATCTGATTAATGAGGGATTGTAGGAAGTAAAGAGAACTCTAAAAATATAGAAATAGATGTAATAATCAGCCACTACTCAAACCTAGCACTGACACAGAACACCCAAGGAAGAGCTGTTTCTGCCCTCTGCCCCAGGTCTGCTATCCAGACCTCCAGGACTTAATGAATTGCAGAGAAGTTGCTGTGATGGAAGTCCTGGAAATACACTCTCCAGAGTGCAGGGGAAAGCTGTTCACAGGGAGGTATCTTGCTGAATGCACTCTGCTAGGAAATAACCCAAGCCCGTGCTAGAGGAAGATGCTGGCTGCTCCTTGTGCTGGCTGCCCTGTGTTGGAGAAGCTGCCTGAGCTGCCAGTACCTGGTGTGGGAGAGGCTGCCCACAGTGCAGGAGGTGGGTGCCTGGGAAGCCATGTGCCCAGGAGAAGCCTGGTGCTGGAAAAGCTGCACATGCTGCAGAAGCTTGCTGCAGGAGCACACTGGGAACAAGAAGGAAAATCCCTTCCTCCTGCAGTATCTTCCCACCACCCTCTATTGACAAAGTTTAGCATTATGTCCACTGGCAAATAAAAACTATTTAAAGGCCAGTTGCATTTTTACACAGCAGGTAATTAAGTGTGAATTTGGAACTGAGACAGTAATTTATTTATTTAATTTTTTTTTAATAGAGATGGAAACTCACTATGTTGACCAGGCTGGTCTCGAACTCCTGGACTCAATCGGTCCTCCCATCTTGGCCTCCCAAAGAGCTAGGATTACAGGCTTGAGCCACTGTGCCTGGCCTGAGACAGTAAATTGATAACCAGCACAGTGTGGAAAGAGAGCCTTCCAGCCAGTGGGAGTAGCACCAGAGAAGACACATAAAAAGGACTTTCATATCTGGCAGCATGATGAACTTAATACCCAGACTGACGCTCCCACTATAAAACAAACTAACAAAAAAACCCTAAATATCCTATATTTTTAAAATAAGAAACTTGGGCTTAAATGCTTCAGCGAAATAGCAAGAAAGTAAGAACACTTAAAACTAAGTTAAAGCATGAACTTGAACACTGGAGATAGCTTTCATTTTGGTAGTATTTGCCAAATATTTTGAACTTGAACTTCACTTCTCAGGGTCTTGTGATGTGCAGTGGAACGAAAGTTTGATTCCAAGATCCTCTCAAGTTGGGGAGTCTAATTTTGAGACCATATTACATTTTATTAGGATGCAGAATACTCAGTAAACTAGACACTGAGGGTGAATCTGTACACTTACTCATTATGACAGTGAAATAAACTCACCCTTACTCCCCATTTCCTAAGGGAACTTCAAAGAAAATTATGGTATTTAAACTCTGGCACTGGTTGAAGGAGGAAAATTCTCCCAGAATCCCTAATCATAAGCCCTCCCCTCAAGGATTACAGCCTGAATTCACACCACTCACATGTTCTGAAAAACTTCAAGGTGAAAATTAAAGTGATGCCAGGTCGGTAGTGTTCATGTAAGGTTTGGAAAAAGTAAGCACAAATCCTCTCAGAAGGGATGTGCCTTGAATCACAAAATACACAAGGAAACTACCCACAATGAGCAAGAACCAGTGGAAACAATAAACCCACAAAAGCTTCAACTATTTGTATTATCAAAACAATTGGTATGTTTAACCAATGTTTAATTGGTATGTCTAAATAATTTAAAATATTTAACATATGTTTAAAGAAATAAAAGACTAAAAGATGATCAAGATGATCTGAAAATGAATCACATAGAATCTCTGGAAGTGAAAAGTGCAATACTTGAAAAAATGTCAATAGGTTGGTTTAAAAACAGATTAGACACTTCTGCAGTCAGAATTAGTGAACTGGCAGATAGAACTAAAAATTATGCAGAATGTGGTACACAGAGAAAAAGAGGCAGAAAACATAAAAAGACATCGAGACATGAATGATAGAGTGAGAAGATTCCACATATATAAAATTGGAATTCCAGTAAGAATGAGAGGTAGAATGGTGCAGGAACAATATTAAAAGAGTTAATAGTAGAGAACTTTCCAGAACTCATGAAAAATGTATATCTGAAGATTTAAAATGCACATCCATTTCCAAAGAAGAAATCTACACCCAGCCACCTTGTAGATAAATGTAGAACACCAGTAGCAAGGAATCTCCTAAAAGAAAAAGACTGATTATCAAGAAAAGGTAATTAAACTGAGAACAACTATAGAAGACAAAAGAAATAATAATTTTAATGTGTTGAAAGAAAATAACTGTCACTCTGGAATTGCATGCCCATGAAGAACATAGTTCAAACCAAGGGCAAAATGAACACAGTTCAGACAAAAAAACCTGAGTTTGCGATTAATTCCTAATCTAAGGAAATTCTAAAAAATGTACTTCTGATGAAAGAAAGTGATTCCAAATTGACAGTCTGGGATTCAAGAAGAGATGATAAAACAAAATGTTAAAATATAGGCAAATCTAAACAAACACTAAAAAATAACTTTGGAGAGACCAAAAAAGATATATAGAATACACAGCTATAAATTGTGAAAGATTAATATATTAAAGTGTTCTAGAGACCTTGTATTATTCAGGAGGATGATACAGATATTTAGTAATTTTTGAACATACACGTTAACTGTTACGGTAAATAAGAAAGTAATAGAAATATACTGGGCTTTCTGTACTTTCAGATTTTTCTTCTATGGTTATTAGTTATAAAAAAATTCCAGTCAGCTAAGATCAAAATCATTTAGCTTTATGAAAAAAATGTATTAAGGGCTTTGTGAATGGTTTGATCTGGGCTTTGTTTCTATATTTTCTTTTTATGATTTTCTCACAGTGGACATCTTGGTATGTGAACTTCATTCTTACAACAAAATGGCTGCAGCAGGTCAAGAGATCATATCTGTATGACTCAAATTCCTGAGAAAGAGAGAACTTCAATTTTCTCAACAAACAAACAAACAAACAAACAAATAGATGTTTTAGACATCACTCTGATTGAATCTACACGTAAACCAATGACTGTGGCCAGGGGAGGGGCGGTCACTGATTATATTAGACGGGTTGCACAGACCTCTCTAGGCATCCAACTAGGTGAAGGTTCATTAAGCTAAAAGAAAATAAGACAGCAGCTATGAAGACTGACATCTGTCTGTCTATTACACCATGTGCTGTTATTGAAGCTTTGTGTTAGTTCTAAATCTTACCTTTTTAGATTTAAAAATAATTTGAGGCCACACCTCATAACTGGAATCCCAGCATTTTGGGAGGCTGAGATAGGAGGATTCATAGAGCCCAGGAGTTCAAGCCCAGCTTGTGCAACACAGTAATATCTTTTCTCTAAAAAGGAAAAATAAGAAAATTAGCCAGACGTAGTGAGTCATGCCTGTAGTCCCAGCTACTCAGGAGGCTGAGGTGGGGGGATTGCTTGAGCCTGGGAGTTGGAGGCTACAGTGAGTTATGATCACACCACTGCACTACAGCCTAGGTGGCAGATTGAGGCCTTGTCTCAAAATAAAATAAAATAAAAACTTACATTTCTGGGATAAACCCCTCTTCGTCATGATATAATATTATTTTTGTACATGGCTGAATTCAACTTGTTAATACTTTCTTGAGAACGTTTGAGTCTGGAGTGATACTGGTTTGTAGTTTTCTTTCCTTGTAATATTTGTATGGGTATAATAGTAGTGCTATCTTCATAAAATAAGTTGGGACATGTTCCCTCCTGCTTTATTTTATTAAAGAGTTTGTGTTTTTTTAATTTTTTTTTTAATATTCAGTAGAATTCACCAGTGAAACCATCTGGACCTAGAGTTTTCTTTGTGAGAACATTACTTAAATTATGGAATTCTAGTTATTTAATATATATAAGATTATTCAGATTTTCTGAATCTTTTTTGTCAGTTTTGTTCATTTGTGCCTTTCAGGGAATTTGTTTATCTAAGTTGTTGAAATTATTGACAACAAAGTATTGATAATTTTTCTTTATTATCTTTTTAATATCTATAAGACTTGTGGTAATGTTTCCTCTTTTATTCTTGATGTTGGTAACTTGAGTTTTTAAAACCATTTTAAAATAATTTGAATAATTATATATATTTCTATATTACATAATTGAAAATAGCAAGAAGCAAACTTGATGCAAATGTGGCTTAACTACTAATGAAAGTCACATTTGTAGATTTAGTACAAAGGAAATCTAAGAATATTGGGGTTTCTTGGAGTTAAAAGGAATTAACCTTTAGTCAATCAGTGATAGTTATATAGACATGGCCATGATAACTCAAAATAGGATTCTTGGTGGTAGTCATTACATGAATAAATGGATAAATACATGTCTTAATTGCAGAATGAAATAAAATAGATTGATATTACATGGATATTCATGAAATTATTTTCCTTGATCAGTCCTCATTGCCTCATGCATTATCTCTCTAAAATACAAATGTGTTGTTGTAAATCCCCAAATTAAAATTTTTAATGGGCCAAATGGCTCATGCCTATAACCCCAGTACTTTAGGAAGCCAAGGCAGGAGGATCACTTGAGCATAGGAGTTTGAGAACAGAGTGGGCAACATGGTGAGACCCTCTCTCTACAAAAGAAAAAAATTATCCGGTCCTAGTGGTCCATGTGTGCCGGTAGTCCCAGCTACTCAGGAGAGTAAGGTAGGAGGATTGCTTGAGTCCAGGAGGTCAAGGCTGCAGTGAGCCACGATTGTGCAATAGCACTCCAGCCAGGGTGACAGAGTGAAACCCTGTATCAAGAAAACAAAGACATTTTCAATCATTTCTATTATTCAATTGAATGCGCTGTGGTGGCATATAAGGCTTTTGATACCATGATCCCATTTTATTTACCCAACTTTATTTCATACCTCTTTCCACAATATATTGCAGCCACCCTAAACACAATTCTTTCACTAATTTAATTATTTTGCCTCACTTCCCCATACTTTTTCATGTTGCCCCTCTATTATCTGAATTTTTCTTTTTTCTTTCAAGGCCAAACTCAAAGGTCATGTTTATATGAAGTTTTTCTTATCCCACTCCCAGTATAATTAATGGCTTCTTTTTCTGATCTTCATGGCATTTGCACACCCCTCTAGTCTATTACAACACATGCCACAATTAGTAAGGTTTAGATGTTTAAGTGGCTGCTCCCTAACAAAATAGAAGCTCTTTGAGGACAGTAAGTGTATTATTCATTTTTGTCTCCCAAACTTCTGGCACAATGCTTTGAATATTGTAGGCACTGAACAAATGTTTACTTAGTAATTCATAGTCCCAAATCAGTCTCACTCACAGGATAGATGAGAACAATTTTATAGAGGAAGATGCTGTTCTTTGGTCTGGGAAAACACCAGCAGTCTGGATCACTTCATTTATCAATATGAGTACTTTTTATCACAAAGGGGAACAATCCAAGTCTAAGTTCAGCTGAGAAAGGATGATCATTTTCATGTACAAAAGAAACTACAGCCATCAAAACAATTTTAAAATAATTGGAGGTTATACTTAGCTGCTGGATGAACAGCATGAGTATACTGTTAATTTTGCAGGTCAACATTATGACCTCAGATGTGAGTTTTCAAATGGATTAATACTGCATTATAAATATAATCCTAAGAATGTGCTGGGAAATTGCTACAAGGTGTACTGGGACAGAGACATGATAACATCATTAAAGCCTACCAGCACACTAGATAGTCTCCTGTTTGACAAGCCTCATAAAATTGTGGTACTTATTAGTATTCCTCTTTTACTAAGCACAAATATTACAAGAAATACACAGAAAGCAAGCAAATAAATAGGTCAGATTAAGGAGCAAAAAGAAAAATAACATTTACAGCACATCGAAGTAATGCAAATTAGCATCTCAGTGCCTCTATTTAATTATCAGTTGGTGTTTAAGGATATATACCAAGTTAAATATTTTAAGGAACAACATTCATGATGCTTGTGTTAGTTCCAAATATAATGTTTCTGAAAATAACAAAGCTTTTTCTTCTTAGCATGATAAATTATTATAAATCACACAAGGGTATGGTTTTCCACCTCTTATCCACACAAGCAAAACTGAAAGATGTGATATACGCCTATGAGTAATAGTGGTTCATTACAGTACTTATAATGCAGTCTGTCTATACACCCACTCCCATCACATTGAGAAGAATTGTAATAGGGCATGTTAGTGATGACACCATTTATTCTCCTTATACAGCCTTCTTGAGGAATTTGACCCTCCACAATGTTGGAAGAAACAGAGGTTTATATCACGTATTCCCTCAGCAATTGTGCATTAGATGCTTGAACCAAGAATGCAATCAGCAGCTGTGTTAATGGCCACAAAAGCTAGATGTGTAAGGTTGTATAGCAACTGAGGCCATCACTGAGGGGTATTAATTGTGAGTCATGTGTGTTCGATAAGCAGGTAGGGAGCACTGAGGTAAGAGATCATGTGATTTTGGAAAGTGGGAGAGATGGAAACATAATTGGCTGTGGGCTCTGATAGCTTTCTTATTCTCAGTTCATTCCAGTTGTAATACTCAATGATTCTTCCTGCCCTTGGATTCTGTGATTTCCTTGGTTTCAGCTTTCTCCAGAGTGCATCTCTTTTTTACAGTCATACAGTTCTTAAGCATCAGGACAGAGAGTTAAAAAATAAATTAGTAAATGCCTATGTAATTGAAAATTTTATGATCTGATTAATCTGGGAACTATAAGTACAGTTGATCTATTAAAGTACTATCAACATACCAAGGTTGCCAAATATTTTGAAATATTTATTCTTTTTTTATTTTACTTTTTTTTGTTTACCTCATTCTACAGTCCAAAGCCAACATATTTATTCTTTATTGAGGTTTAGGAAATAAGGATTTGGAGTTCATAATATTCCTTATTTCAGATCACCTTTCGGAGTGGCTTTTCTAGGAGTTGACAAACATTTTCTGTAAAGGCCCAGATGTAAGTTTAGGCTTCATGGACCATTGGTTTCTTGCACCTTCTCAACTCTGCCATTGTGGTGTTGAAGGCGCTGTGGAAGCATCCATAGGCAAGTAAATGAGTGAGATGAGTTTCAATAAGACAGGCAGTAGGTTACATTTGGCCTTTGGCTGTAATGTGCTGACACCTGGACTAAGCAGTTATGAACCTCTAGGCTTAAGCAACTTCAAGTTTTAATATTAATTCTTCCAGTGATTCCCTGTGACCTAGGAAATATATTCAGTGTTTAATAGACTCAAGTTTTTTAGTTTATAAAATGACAGTGTGATAATTTTAATTGGCCTCATAGAATTTGATCGAGAATATTTAATTAATCAGACCAAATGAGATTAACTACAGTAAAGTAGTGAATACAGTGCCTGGCATGGAATTTATTTAAGAACTATTGTCTGTGTTAGACTTTGTTCTAAACATTGAAGATATCAGGAAAAGAAAAAATAAACAAAAGTAGTAAAGAGTGCCGTTGTTATTTGTGAGAGGGAGATGGAACATTGAAGAGAAAGACGTTCCTAAACTCTGTTCATTTTACTGACCAATCACCTATTAAATAGGAAGCCTTAAAAAATTTAAAATACTGGTAAATTAAATTTACAGCCAGGAGCTATAAGTATCCCCATAACAAGAGGGGAAAAAATAAATCACACTGTAATTGCTAAGAAATATAATTTGGCATGGTGTTATATATAAAAGATTGTTTAATATGTTAGGAAAATATGTTATTTGCTTCTTTGTTAACATAAAAAAACTACAATTCCAACCTGTCAGTTTAGATTCATTCAGGCCTGAATGAAAAATCTTACCACTTGTCTGCTAGATAGAGTCTAGTTAAATTTCTAATAACGTCTTGACTGGTGAGACTAAAGATATAAAAGGATCAGGAAGCCACATCCCTCCCTTCTGTGTTTCTTCCAGAAAAAGGTCAAGGATCGAGTGGCTGAGAGCGAGGCTTATATCATTGTTCTCTTAACAAGTCTGAAGTTATCTTCCAGACTGCAGATAAGTAGATTATAAAGGAGTGATCCCATACACTGTAGAACAGCAAGCCTCCTAGGTCCAAGATATCCTTACCCTATGTGCTTTAAAATTATAGGGTTCTTGAAGCATCAGTGTATTTATCTGGCATTTATTAGAGTTCAAGCCTCCCTTGTAGTCTTTGCAGCATCCCCAGGGAAGAATAGAGGAGGTGGGGGAGAAAAGGAGGGAAAATAATTTTCCTTTCGAGAAAGAGGAAAATTTAGTCAAAAGATTTAATTTCTGATGGCAACCATAAACCACTCTGTCCTGATGGTGAATCCCTAGATTTTGGCTGTGGTCAGCCCTAAAACATTCACCTGATGGGCTGACCTGGCAACTGTTGGGAAACACTCTGAAAGGCTTTGCTGCTTGCTTCTTTCTCCTCCACTTGGAAACTCAAATTACTCTCAAAAGAGGTCTCTGGCAAGCTAGACTCCAGGCCCGTGTACCTGATCCAAGCCGCTTAATCATCTGGCCTGGAAATTTAAGATGCATATCCCTGGGGCCTACCCCAAACCTACTGAAATAGAAGCTTTGAGCTTTATGGGAGGTGGTGCCTTAGAATTCAAGAACCTGCATTTTTTAATAGATTCCCCAGTTGATTGTTAAGCAAAGTAAAAACAAAGGTTGCCTTCCTTTCCAGAAACACTTTTGTAACTAACCCTTCTTCACCACACTGCTTAATTCTTGTCATTATAAGGGTCACCATGTCCAAAGTGCTGCTGTCAAGAGGCTGTGTCCTGAACTTCTGGAGAAATTTTCATGACCAAATGATATTAACAGTGATGGAGCTGGTCTAAGGAGTTTTCTTAAATCAAGATGGGCCAAACTGGACAGGATTAAGCAGACAGGGTTAAGCTGTTGAAGTTCTGTATGCTGTAAATGGGGTTTTTAACCTGGGGTCCACAGATCCTCACAAGAATCTTACCACTTGTAAGGTTCATGGACGGGAAAAATATGTTTACAACTTTATTTTTACTAGTCTGTAACTGAAAATTAACATTTCTTTCTACTATGAATTTGGCAATAAACCACACTAGTGTTAGCAGTACCTATGACTCTGTCACCATTAGAAATCACAGATATATCTGTTACCACATTTAAGTTGTTATGAATAGCTTAAAATATCATTTACATTCATCACAACTTCAAATTACAGTTGTTTTTAGACATGCCACTAGATCTTTTTAAAAATGTAAAGGAAACACAAGATATTACCCTATCACACATTTAAAAAATATTTTGATAACTGTAATTCAGTATAGTTGGTTGCCTTTGTAAGCTCATAATTTTATTATATACATTGAGAAACATTATTCTGAGATGTAGTCCATAGGCTTTACCTTTCTCAGAATAATTTTCTAATGGTATATTACTATATGACATAATATATAACATACATTATTATATGGCAATCATAAATGATTGCCAAAGAAGTCTATGGAATTTAAAAACCCCTGTTCTAAAGGAATCCTAAACAATCAAGTGGCTTTTGAAATAATAGAAGTGAGTGTTGCCTTGTTTTTTCGTTTTTTTGTTTTTTGTTTTTCGTTTTGAGACAGGGTCTCCCTCTGTTACCCAGGCTAGGGTGCAGAGGTGTGATCTCAGCTCACTGGAACCTCGACCTTCCAGGTTCAAGCCGTCTTCCCACCTCAGCCTCCCAAGTAGCTGAGACCACAGGCATGCACCACCACTCCTGGGCAATTTTTGTATTTTTTGTAGAGACGAGGTTTCACCACGTTGCCCAGATTGGGGAGCCACCCACCCGCGTCAGCCTCACAAAGTAATGGGATTACAGGCATGAGCCACTGCGCCTGGCCAGCATTGATTTCTGTTGGTTTAACTCTGTGTTAATTGTCATCACTAATATACTGGAGGCTTCCCAAGTACTACCTAAACCTCAGACTAAGGACAAAAGCTTCTTTATCCTTGTCCATTTAACCAGTTTCACAGTAACCAACCCTGTCAGCACGTGGAATCTAACCCCTTGTAGCCCTGACTGGTGATCTTGATACTGTGTACCCTGTAGCCCTACTGTAGTCTAGCTGGCAATTCTTTGGTTCTTTATTTAATCATGGTCTTTACTCAAAAGTGCACTTTGGCTTCTCCTGTATATGAAGCATTCTGCTCCTTATGGAAAGGAATAGAAATGAAATATGGGGTATGTTTTCTAGCAGGACAGTGGTCCTCATGCTCCGATACTTGAGGTCCTGTGATTGGGGTTAAGTGCATGAACATGAATGCCTAGGTTACTTTCTTTTTTCCTGCCACTTACTAGCTGAGTGACTTTGGGCAGACTGCTCCTTGTACCTCTGTTTTTCCATCCGTAAAGTGAAGATCATATATGGGTGCTTTCAGGACAGTACTTACTATATAGTTAGCATGTGATAAATATTAGTTATGAAATATATAGAATTCAGGTCCACAGCCCAAACTCCTGACTCAGAATCTCTGGAGGCTTGGCCATGTGCATTTTATCAAGCTCCACAAATGATTTTGATATACTTTAGGGTAGTGTTTCTAAGCCTTTCATTATTTCCCCCCAATAAGATTTTTTTCCTCTGATTGCCACCCCCCTCATGAAATTTGCTTATTAAATTTGAATGGCATAGATATATGGTACCATATATCTGTTTATGTACTTTGGCCATTTGAAGGCTGACAAAACCATGGTTACTATTGCACTCCAGCCTGGGCGACAGAGCGAGACTCTGTCTCACAACAAACAAACAAAAACATGGTTACTAAGATTTTTGTACGGCCTCCCCACCAAGAAACAATTTTAGCCCTCCCCATTGAGAATGCTTTAAACCCGTGGGTTCTCAATCTTGGATCCATATTAGAGTGAAATAAGGAAGCTTTAAAAAAACACCCATGCCGGGGACACACAACCAGACCAGTTAAATTAGAACCTCTGGGGTGGTCTTTTTAAAGATCCCCAGATGATTCTGATATTCAGCCAAAGTTGAGAAACACTGTTTTAGAGTTTGAGATCCTCTTACAAGAGATTAAAATCTGGTTGGCAAGCAGGACCTACAAACATGATCATAAACAATGCAGAAATGTACGGAACAGTGAGTGCGATAGAGTTCAGAAAAAGGAGAAACGAATACAGGGTGTTCTGACTAGGAGAGGCTTTGCTAGCTGGACAGACAATCTGGGCAGTATTTTGAAAAGAGAATGAAAAAGAAATTTTTAATGTGGAAACAACAGAGCCAAAGGTATAAAAGGACATAGGGTGCTTGGGGGAGGCAGTAGATTGTATGGTGGCCTCCCAAAAGACAGGTCCACCTGGAATCTGTGAAGGTGACTTTATTTGGAAAAAAGGTCTTTGCAGCTGTAATCGAGTTAAGGATCTTGAGATGAGAGCATCCTGGATTAGAGTGGGTCCTAAGTCCTTAGAAGAGAAGACAGACAGGAAGAAGGCCATGTGAAGACAGCGGCAGAGTTTGGAGTGATGTGCCTTCCAGCCAAGGAACACCAGGATTGCCTGCAGCCACCAGAAGCTGGAAGAAGCAGTGAAGGATTCTCTCTAGACCCTTCAGACGGAACAGCTGCTGACACCTCAATTTCAGAATTCTGGCCTCCAGAACTGTAAGAGAACAAATAACTTGCTTTAAGCTACCTAGTTTGTAGTCATTTATTACAGTAGCCTTAAGAAACTAATACAGGGGACAATATGGAAACCAATCTGATAGAGTAAATGAATTGTATTGAGTGAAAAACAAATCTGGAACTATAGTGTGGGTCCAAACAGGAAGGCTATTGTTTGCACGTCATATTAGTGAGAGTTCTCCAGAGATGTGGAATTAACAGGGTATATATAGAGATCTATGAGGAGATTTATTATGGGAATTGGTTCATACAGTTGTGGAGGCTGATAAGTCCCACAGTCTGCTGTCTGCAAACTGGAGAACCAGGAAAGCCAATGGTGTCATTCAGTCTGTGTTTGAAGGGCTGAGAACTGGGGAGTCAATGGTGTAAACCTGAGATCCTGGGGAGCTCTGATGTTTGAGGGCAGGAGACGATGAATGTTTCAGCTCCAGAAGAGAAAGCAAATTTGTTCTTCTGCCTTTTTGTTCTATCCAGGCTTTCAGTGATTGGATGCTACCCACCCACATTGGTGAGGGATCTTTTTAACTCAGTCTACTGATTTAAATGCTAATCTCTTCTGGAAACACCCTCACAGACATCCCAAGGAATAATGCTTTACCAAGTTAAATGAGTATCTTTTTAGCCAGTCAAGTTGACACCTAAAATTAACCATCACACACAGTATAGTGCCTGCAATGAGAACAATTAGAGGTCTGGAGTTAAAGTGCCACCTGATGAAACCAATGTCACTAGAAGATTAATCTAGTAATTAATGCTATATAACCTGTAGGAAGTAAGTAAAAATAGGGAAGCCACCTACAATTATAATAAAATTAGATAAGGTAAATAAGGAAAACCTGAATGAATAATATGGTTTTTTTTTTTAGAGAGGAAAAGAAAGAAATGGTTTCATGCAATAGAATTTACAGGAAGAATAAAGAAGGCCTTGGTGCCTCATCTGTATGGCCAAGAAGAGGAGGAATGCTTCAAAAATGACTTTAATCTTTGAATTTGGCCAGGCACAGTGGCTCATGCCTGTAATCCCAGCACTTTGGGAGGCCGTGGTGGTAGGATTGCTTGAGTCCAAGAGTTTGAGACCATTCTGGGCAACATATCAGGACCCCTGTTACTGCAAAAAAATAAAAAAGAAATTAGTCGAGTGTGATATGTGCCTGTAGTCCAGCTACTTGGGAAGCTGAGGTGGGAGGACCCCTTGAGCCCAGGAGGTCAAGGCTACCGTGAACCATGATCACCCACTGCATTCCAGCCTTGATGACAGAGGGCAATCCTGTCTCTAAAAATAAAATATAAAAATAAGTAAGGTTTGAACTTGAGCAAATAATGTACATTAGATCTAAAATCAAAGATAAGTTAGCTTTTAATAATTTATTTTAAAATTTAGGGTTTTTTTTTTAGCAACTTTATTGAGGTATATTTTACATATTCACCTATTCCAAACATACCATTTAATGATTTTTAGTAACTTTACCAAGTGGTACCACCATCACCATAAATCAGTTTTATAACATTTTTGTCCCCGAATTGGATCCATTATGCTCATTTATAGTCACAGCTCATATAACCCTACTCCCAATTAACCACTATTCTACTTTCTTTCTCTATAAATGTATCTTTTTGAGAAACCATTTTAGATGAATGGGGTCATTCAATGTATGGTCTCTTGTGTCTTGCTTATTTTACTTTATACAATGTTTTTGAGGTTCATTCACCATGTAGCTTGTGTCAATGGTCTGTTTTTTGTTTTGCTTTGTTTTTTTTTTGAGACAGGGTTTTGCTCTTTTGCCCAGGCTGGTCTTGAACTCCCAGTCTCAAGCAGTGCTCCCACCTCAGCCTCCTGAGTAGCTGAAATTACAGGTACTCCACTGCACCTAGCTTAGTCTGTTCCCTTTTTTTGCTAAATAATATTCCATTGTAATGATATGCCACAGTTTGTCTATACATTCACCAATTGATGGACATTTGGGTTGTCTTTAATATATGCTGGCATAAACACTCTGGTGAAAGTTTTCATGTGAACATATGTTCTCATTTATCTTGGGTAGATACCTAGAAGTAGAATCGCTTGGTTGTATGGTAGTTTTATGTTTAACTTTTTGAGAAACTGGCAAATCATTTTTTAAAGTGGCTATATAATTTATATTCTCGCTAGCAATGGTTGAGAGTTCCTTTTTCTCCACCTGCTCACCAACATTTATTACTGTCTGTCTGCTAGCCATTCTAGTGAATGTGATATGGTGTCTCACTGTGGTTTTCATTTGTATTAGCCTAATGAGTAATGATGTTGAGCATCTTTTCATATGCTTATTAGCTATTCATATATCTCTGTTCATGTCTTTTGCCCATGGTTTGATTCGGTTTTTTGTCTTATTGAGTTGTAAGTATTCTTCATATCTTCTAGTTACAAGTCCTTTATTTTGACATGAGTTTTGCAAACATTTCCCCCCAGTCTGTTGCTTGTCTGTTTATTTTTGTTATGATGTATTTTGAAGTGCAAACGTTTTAAATTTTGATGAGGTCTAATTTTTCAATTTTTTTCTTGTAATGACTGTGCTTTTAGTGTCATATCTAAGAAATCTTTGCCTAATCCAAGGTCTTGAAGATTTTCTCCTATATTTTATTCTAAAAGTTGTATTTTTAGCTCTTACATTTAAATCTATAATCCATAATAATTTTTGTATATGGTGTGAGGTGAGGATCTAAGTTCATCTTTTTTGCATCTGGTTTGCATCTGGTCCCAGCACCATTTGTTAAATGTAATCTTTTGCCCAGTGAATTGCCTTGACACCTTTGCCAAAACTCAATTGACTTAAAATATAGAGATTTATTTCTGGATTCTCAATTCTGTTCCAGATGTATATGTTTATCTTGATCCTAGTCCTACTGTCTTTACAACTGTGACTTTATAATAAGTTTCTACATGAAGATGTGAAAGTCCTTCAACCTTGTTCTTTTTCAAAATTGTTTCAGCTGTGCTAGGTATTTTGCATTTCCACATAAATGTTTGGCTGTGCTTGATGATATCTTCAAAAATGCATACTGAAATTTGCATGCAATGTATAGATCAGGCTGGGGAGAATTGTCATATTAACAATACTGAATCTCCCATTCCATAAATATGGAATGTTTCTCCATTTATTTAGATCTTCTTTTTTTTTGAGACAGAGTCTCGTTCTGTTGCCCAGGCTGGTGTGCAGTGGCACGATCTCGGCTCACTGCAAGCTCCGCCTCCTGGGTTCACGCCATTCTCCTGCCTCAGCCTCCTGAGTAGCTGGGATTACAGGTGCGTGCCACCACGCCTGGCTAATTTTTTGTATTTTTTAGTAGAGACGGGGTTTTACCACGTTAGCCAGGATGGTCTCAATCTCCTGACCTCGTGATCCACCCACCTCAGCCTCCCAAAGTGCTGGGATTACAGGTGTAAACCACCCCACCCGGCCTTTATATCTTCTTTAGCTTCCTCAAAGTTTTGTAATTTTCAGTGTATAAATCTTGCATTTCTTTTGTCAAATTTATTCCTTAGTATTTTATTCCTTGTGATGCTATTTTGAATAGCATTGTATTCTTAATTTTATTACAAATTGTTCATTGCTCATATATACTAATCTATTTTCCCATCTATTACTTAATAAATACTTTTAAATCAATGGATTTACATGTGAATGAGCAAGAGGAAAATTTTTAGCCAAAGGAGAGAGAGAGAAGGAAGTAAACTTAAACATTTATATAGCACAAGTTTGGTATCTAGCAATTTAACATTTGTGAAGGTTCCTAACATGTATAGTATATGGTGGAGTTTGTTATTTTAAATAAATTGTATTGTGTATATTTAAGGTGTACAGCATGATGTCATGGGATACCGATACATAGTAAAATGGTTACTGTAATGAAGCCAACTAATATTAATATATTCATCATCTCACATAGTTACTTACATTTTTGTGGTAAGAGCAGCTAAAATATACTAACTTAGCAGAAATCCCAAATACAGTATAATTTTATTAATTGTAGTCCTCATATTGTACACTAGATGTCTGGACCTGTTCATCCTACATATCTGCTACTTTGTATACTCTGACCTACATTGCCCCATTTCCTCTGCCAGTAACCTCTGTTTTATTCTCTCTATATATTATTATTTTTTTTAGATTCCACATATAAGTGAGATCATGCAATATTTTTCTTTCTATGTCTGACTTATTTCATTTAGCATAATGTCCTCATATGATGGAGTCTGTGATGCATACCTCATGGTAGATGATTGTAAGGTTAAAATAGAATAGGATACATAAAGTTCCTGGCATAATACAAATCTTAAATGCTCTGGGGCTGGTATTCAGAAGTGAGGCATTTTACTCAGGAGTGAACTTGGTTTAGTGCTCACTGTTCCCTTATCAATCTGGGAAATCATGGGATTCTTAGGACTGTCCCTCATAAATATTGTGGTTCCGTAATACTTTTTAATTTTTTTACTTGCATCTGTCTCCCACTGTTTCTTTACTCTGGGTTTTCCTTTCCATTCTTTCCACTTAAGTCAATTCGAATGATAATTGTTAATAATTGGATTCATTTCAGGCCAAAATGTTTAGAAAATATTTTTGGCAGGGTTTAGTAAATTGATGCATTTCTTGATTGTGTTTCTTTATTGCCTTAACTGGAATAGCACTGACTTTTTTCATCTCATACCCCCTCTGAATGAGAGGAAAACCTGTTTATTCATTCATCACTCACCATCTCTTGAGTGCCTGCTATGTGTCAAGTCCTGTTCTAGTTGGGAGGTGGTTCCCCAGAAGCAATGGACAGAGTCAGTCTTTTGTCATTTTCTGGGTAGAAAGACATGGACTTTCCAGAGTAGGAGAAGGAACACAGCTAGTGGCCTCAGAAGACATTGCTCAGATTAGGATAAATAAGGGCCATGTGAAAGACTGCTGCTTCATTAAGTTCCCTCTCTGGGTTAGAGATTCTTTGAAAAAGTTATCACCATCTGGCTGATGTTTCTTCTCAAAGGCACCTCTGAGTGGTGTAAAAAATTATGGAATCAAGTAACAGCATATTTTCCAAGATCTCTATGAACTAAGGGATACTAGCCTAAGATTTTCCACTAATTAACTGTGTGACCTTGGACAAGTCACTTCACCTTCCTGCACTGATGAGGCAGGCTGAGTGATCTCTGAAGACTTCTCTAACTCTATATTCTATTTTCCAACTCTCCTTAAGTCCTTGGACTATGACTTTATAGGTGGTGGAGGAGGGACGTGACAAAGAAGGAAGAAATTTATTTAAATTCAGTTTTCAGGATATGGGGCATCCATATGTATAAGTGAGTTAAATAATTTGTTGGTGAGTATGGGATGTGGAACTGAACATTCATGGCTCTATCCCTTCTCTTTTACTCTTGAGAATAAATTGCTGGGTGTATGAATTCTGGTCAGCTTTTCCATGCCTGAAGTTGTTTCACAAGGTGAATTCTCACCTGGAGAGGTCTGTAGTTGTCTTCTTTTGCATATGACTTGGTGGATAAATTTGTTCAATTGTAGGGTTTAGCATTACAATGCCCATTGTTGCTCCTCATCTAAGCCATGTCTTTTAGCCTGGCCTTTATCAATGGTGGTGATGATAATGGTGATGATTATGATGATGATATAGGAGAAATATTGTTCTCCATTGACCTAATGTTCTTTTTTTTAATATGTATACTTTAAGTTCTAGGGTACATGTGCACAATGTGCAGGTTTGTTACGTAGGTCTACATGTGCCATGTTGGTTTGCTGCATCCATCAACTCGTCATTCACATTTGGTATTTCTCCTAATGCTATCCCTCCCCCAGCCCAGTGTGTGACGTTCCCTGCCCTGTGTCCATGTGTTCTTGTTGTTCAACATCCACCTATGAGTGAGGAAATGTGGTGTTTGGTTTTCTGTCCTTGTGATAGTTTGCTGAGAATGATGGTTTCCAGCTTCATCCATGTCCCTGCAAAGAACATGAACTCATCCCTTTTTATGGCTGCATAGTAGTATTCCATGGTGTATGTGTGCCACATTTTCTTAATCCAGTCTATCATTGATGGACATTTGGGTTGGTTCCAAGTCTTTGCTATTGTGAATAGTACCGCAATAAACATACGTGTGCATGTATCTTTATAGTAGCATGATTTATAATCCTTTGGTTATATACCCAGTAATGGGATGGCTGGGTCAAATGGTATTTCTAGTTCTAGATCCTTGAGGAAACGCCACACTGTCTTCCGCAATAGTTGAACTAATTTACACTCCCACCAACAGTGTAAAAGCATTCCTATTTCTCCACATCCTCTCCAGCATCTGTGGTTTCCTGACTTTTTAATGATTGCCATTCTAACTGGTATGAGATAGTATCTCATTGTGGTTTTGATTTGCATTTCTCTGATGGCCAGTGGTGATGAGCATTTTTTCATGTATCTTTTGGCTGCATAAATGTCTTCTTTTGAGAAGTATCTGTTCATATCCTTTGCCCACTTTTTGATGGGGCTATTTGTTTGTTTCTTGTAAATTTGTTTAAGTTCTTTGTAGATTCTGGATATTAGCCCTTTGTCAGATGGATAGATTGCAAAGATTTTCTCTCATTCTGTAGGTTGCCTGTTCACTCTGATGATAGTTTCTGTTGCTGTGCAGAAGATTTTTAGTTTAATTCAATCCCATTTGTCCATTTTGACTTTTGTTGCCATTGCTTTTGGTGTTTTAGTCATGAAGTCTTTGCCCATGCCTATGTCCTGAATGATATTGCCTAGGTTTTCTTCTAGGGTTTTTATGGTGTTAGGTGTTACATTTAAGTCTTTAATCCATCTTGAGTTAATTTTTGTATATGGTGTAAGGAAAGTTTCAGCTTTCTATATATGGCTAGCCAGTTTTCCCAGCACCATTTATTAAACAGGGAATCCTTTCCCCATTGCTTGTTTTTGTCAGGTTTGTCGAAGATCAGATGGCTGTAGATGTGTGGTGTTATTTCTGAGGCCTCTATTCTGTTCCATTTGTCTATATATCTGTTTTGGTACCAGTACCATGCTGTTTTGGTTACTGTAGCCTTGTAGTATAGTTTGAAGTCAGGTAGCGTAATGCCTCCAGCTTTGTTCTTTTTACTTAGGATTGTCTTGGTTATACGGTCTGTTTTTGGGAGTCCATGTGAAGTTTAAAATCATTTTTTCCAATTCTGTGAAGAAAGTCAGTGGTAGCTTGATGGGATAACATTAAATCTATAAATTACCTTGGGCAGTATGGCTATTTTCATGATATTGATTTTTCTTATCCATGAGCATGGAATGTTTTTTCATTTGTTTGTGTCCTCTCTTATTTCCTTGAGCAGTGCTTTGTAATTCTCCTTGAAGAGGTCCTTCACATCCCTTGTAAGTCATATTCCTAGGTATTTTATTCTCTTTGTAGCAATTGTGAATGGGAGTCCACTCATGATTTGGCTCCCTGTTTGTCTATTATTGGTGTATAGGAATGCTTGTGATTTTTGCACATTGACTTTGTATCCTGAGACTTTGCTGAAGTTGCTTATCAGCTTAAGGAGATTTTGGGCTGAGACAGTGGGGTTTTCTAAATATACAGTCATGACATCTGCAAACAGAGACAATTTGACTTCCTCTCTTCCTATTTGAATACCCTTTATTTCTTTCTCTTGCCTGATTGCATCGGCCAGAACTTCTGATACTACGTTGAATAGGAGTGGTGAGAGAGAGCATCCTTGTCTTGTGCCAGTTTTCAAAGGGAATGCTTCCAGCTTTTGTCCATTCAGTATGATATTGGCTGTAGGTTTGTCATAAGTAGCTCTTATTTTGAGATACATTCTATCAATACCTAATTTATTGAGAGTTTTTAGGATGAAGCGGTGTTGGATTTTATCGAAGGCCTTTTCTGCATCTATTGAGATAATTATGTGGTTTTTGTCATTGGTTCTGTTTATGTGATGGATTGCATTTACTGATTTGCGTATGTTGAACCAGCCTTGCATCCCAGGGATGAAGCCGACTTGATTGTGGTGGATAAGCTTTTTGATGTGCTGCTGGATTCGGTTTGCCAGTATTTTATTGAGGATTTGTGCATCGATATTCATCAGGGATATTGGCCTGAAATTTTCTTTTTTTTGTTGTGTCTGTGCTAGGTTTTGGCATTAGGATGATGCTGGCCTCATAAAATGAGTTAGGGAGGAGTCCCTCTTTTTCTGTTTGGAATAGTTTCAGAAGGAATGATACCAGCTCCACTTTGTACCTCTGGTAGAATTTGGCTGTGAATCCGTCTGGTCCTGGGCTTTTTTTGGCCAGTAGGCTAATTACTGCTTCAATTTCAGAACTTATTATTGGTCTATTCAGGGATTTGACTTCTTCCTGGTTTAGTCTTGGGAGGGTGTATATGTCCAGGAATTTATTCATTTCTTCTGGATTGCCTAGTTTATTTGTGTAGAGGTGTTTATAGTATTCTCTGATGGTGGTTTGCATTTCTGTGGGATCAGTGGTGATATCCCCTTTATCATTTTTTTTGTTTGTTTCTATTTGATTCTTCTCTCTTTTCTTCATTAGTCTGGCTAGTGGTCTATCTATTTTGTTAATCTTTTCAAAAAAACCAGCTCCTGGATTCATTGATTTTTTTTTGAAAGGTTTTTCGTGTCTCTATCCCCTTCAGTTCTGCTCTGATCTTAGTTATTTCTTGTCTTCTGCTAGCTTTTGAATTTGTTTGCTCTTGCCTCTCTAGTTCTTTTAATTGTGATGTTAGGTTGTTGAATTTAGATCTTTCCTGCTTTCTCCTGTGGGCATTTAGTGCTATAAATTTCCCTCTAAACACTGCTTTAGCTGTGTCCCAGAGATTCTGGCATGTTGTGTCTTTGTTCTCATTGGTTTTGAAGAACTTATTCATTTCTGCCTTTATTTTATTATTTACCTAGTAGTCATTCAGGAGCAGGTTGTTCAGTTTCCATATAGTTGTGCAGTTTTGAATGAGTTTCTTAATCCTGAGTTCTAATTTGATTGCAGTGTGATCTGAGAGACTGTTTGTTATGATTTCTGTTCTTTTGCATTTGCTGAGGAGTGTTTTACTTCCAATTATGTGGTCAATTTTAGAATAAGTGTGATGTGGTGCTGAGAAAAATGTATATTCTGTTGATTTGGGATGGAGAGTTCTGTACATGTCTATTAGGTCTGCTTGGTCCAGAGCTGAGTTCAAGTCCTGGATATTCTTGTTAATTTTCTGTCTCATTGATTTCTCTAATATTGACAGTGGGGTGTTAAAGTCTCCCAGTATTATTGTGTGAGAGTCTAAGTCTCTTTGTAGGTCTCTAAGAACTTGCTTTATGAATCTGAGCACTCCTGTATTGGGTGCATATATATTTAGGGTAGTTAGGTCTTCTTGTTGCATTGATTCCTTTACCATTATGTAATGCCCTTCTTGTCTTTTTTGAGTTTTGTTGGTTCAAAGTCTATTTTATCAGAGACTAGGATTGCAACCCCTGCTTTTTTTTTTTGCTTTTCATTTGCTTGGTAGATCTTTCTCCATCCCTTTATTTTGAGCCTATGTGTGTCTTTGCATATGAGATGGGTCTTCTGAATATAGCACACCAATGGGTCTTGACTCTTTATCCAATTTGCCAGTCTGTGTCTTTTTAATTGGGGCATTTAGCCCATTTACATTTAAAGTTAATATTGTTATGTGTGAAATTGATCCAGTCATTATGATGCTAGCTGGTTATTTTCCCTGTTAGTTGATACAGTTCCTTCATAGTGTCAATGGTCTTTACAAATTGATATGTTTTTGCAGTGGCTGGTACCGGTTGTTCCTTTCCATGTTTAGTGCTTCCCTCAGGAGCTCTTGTAAGGCAGGCCTAGTGGTGACAAAATCTCTCAGCATTTGCTTGTCTGTAAAGGATTTTATTTCTCTTTTGCTAATGAAGCTTAGTTTGGCTGGATATGAAATTCTGGGTTGAAATTCTTTTATTTAAGACTGTTGAATATTGGCCCCCACTCTCTTCTGGCTTGTAGGGTTTCTGCAGAGAGATCTGCTGTTAGTCTGATGGGCTTCCCTTTGTGGGTAACCCCACCTTTCTCTCTGGCTGCCCTTAACATTTTTTCCTTCACTTCAACCTTAGTGAATCTGACAATTATGTGTCTTGGGGTTGCTCTTCTCGAGGAGTATCTTTGTGGTGTTCTCTGTATTTCCTGAATTTGAATGTTGGCCTGTCTTGCTAGGTTGGGGAATTTCTCCTGGATAATATCCTGCAGAGTGTTTTCCAACTTGGTTCCATTCTCCCCATCACTTTCAGGTACACCAATCAAATGTAGGTTTGGTCTTTTCACATAGTACCACATTTCTGGGAGGCTTTGTTTGTTCCTTTTCATTTTTCTTTTCTAATCTTCTCTTCATGCTTTATTTCATTATGTTGATCTTCAGTCTCTGATATCCTTTCTTCTGCTTGATCGATTCAGTTATTGATACTTGTGTATGCTTCACGAAGTTCTTGTGCTGTGTTTTTCAGCTCCATCAGGTCATTTATGCTCTTCTCTACACTGGTTATTCTAGTTAGCAATTCCTCTAACCTTTTTTCAAGGTTCTTAGCTTCCTTGCATTGCATTAGAATATGCTCCTTTAGCTCAGAGGAGTTTGTTCTTACCCACCTTCTGAAGCCTACTTCTGTCAATTTGTCAAACTCATTCTCTGTCCAGTTTTGTTCCCTTGCTGATGAGGAGTTGTGATCCTTTGGAGAAGAGGCTTTCTGGTTTTTGGAATGTTAAACCTTTTTGTGCTGGTTTTTCCTCATCTTCTTGGATTTATCTACTTTTGTTCTTTGATGTTTGTGACCTTTGAGTGCAGTTTCTGGGTGGACATCCTTTTTGTTGATGCTGATGCTATTCTTTTCAGTTTGTTAGTTTTCCTTCTAACAGTCAGGCCCCTCTGCTGCAGGTCTACTGGAGTTTGCTGGAGGTCCACTCCAGACCCTGTTTGCCTGGGTATCACCAGCAAAGGCTGCAGAACAGCAAAGATTGCTGCCTGTCCCTTCCTCTGGAAGCTCCATCCCAGAGGGGCACCTGCCAGATGCCAGCCAGAGCGCTTCTGTATGAAGTGTCTGTTGACTCTTGCTGAGAGGTGTCTCGCAGTCTGGAGACATGGGGGTCAGGGACCCACTTGAGGAGGCAGTCTGTCCCTTAGCAGAGCTTGAAGGCTGTGCTAGGAGACCCGCTGCCTTCTTCAGAGCTGGCAGGCAGGAACGTTTAAGTCTGCTGAAGCTGCGCCTACAGCTGCACCTTTCCCCAGGTGCTCTGTCCCAGGGAGATGGGAGTTTTATCTATAAGCCCCTGACTGGGGCTGCTGCCTTTCTTTCAGAGATGCCTTTCCCAGAGAGGAGGAATCTAGAGAGGCAGTCCGGCTACAACGGCTTTGCCGAGCTGCAGTGGGCTCCACCCAGTTCGAGCTTCCTGGTGGCTTTGTTTACACTGTGAGGGGAAAACCGCCTACTCAAGCCTCAGTAATGGTGGACGCCCTGCCCCCCCACCAAGCTGGAGTGTCCCAGGTCGACTTCAGACTGCTGTGCTGGCAGCAAGAATTTCAAGCCAGTGGATCTTAGCTTGCTGGGCTCCGTGGGAGTGGGATCCACTGAGCTAGACCAGTTGGCTCACTGGCTTCAGCCCCCTTTCCAGAGGAGTGAACAGTTCTGTCTCACTGGTGTTCCAGGTGCCACTGGGATATGAAAAAAAAAACTCTTGCAGCTAGCTCGGTGTCTGCCCAAACAGCTGCCCAGTTTTGTGCTTGAAACCCAGGGCATTGGTGGTGTAGGCTCCCGAGGGAATCTCCTGGTCTGCGAGTTGCAAAGACCGTGGGAAAAGCATAGTATCTGGGCCGGAATGCACCATTCCTCATGGTGCAGTCCCTCACGGCTTCCCTTGGCTAGGGGAGGGAGTTCCTTGACCCCTTGTGCTTCCTGGGTGAGGCAACGCCCCACCCTTCTTCTGCTCACCCTCTGTGGGCTGCACTCGCTGTCTAACCAGTCCCAGTGAGATGAGCCTGGTTCCTCAGTTGGAAATGCAGAAATCACCTGCCTTCTGTGTTGATCTTGCTGGGAGCTGCAGACCGGAACTGTTCCTATTTGGCCATCTTGCCAGCCCTCCTCCTTAAAACAAAAATTAGAAAAGGAAATTCTATATCCCAATTAGTGAGTATCCTGAAATGATTGTTCCAAGTTATATTTATGGAAAAACATTATTAATTCGGAATTAATAATGGGGGAATACCAAACTGAAGCTGTCTCATTTTATCCTTTTCCTTGGTCAGTTTGTTTGGATGCATCCCAAATGTATACCTCTGGCTCTGGCTCTCTGGATACACCTTACCTGCCAGACTTCTCCAGATTAATAGTCCGCCTTGCATTCAACAGATCCAAACCCCAACCACAAATTCTCTTCTTCCTGCTATAATATATTACCTCAGTTTAAGACAACATCAATCCAGTGAGTCATGGGCTTCATTTCTGAGACCCTCCTCTTCTTCTCCATCTTCCTTTCTGGTGTGCAGTCCCGGGAGCATCTCTCAGAGTGTCTTCCACCTATTTCCTTTCTCTGTTCTCACTGTTAATGCCCTTGTACCATCACTGATTATGTCTCACCTTGGCTCTAATGATAGTCTCCTGTCCCTTCCTCCAAGCCATCTGAAACATTGTGCCAAAATTTCTAGAGTAATTTTGCTAAAATAAAAATTTAATCATGTCACTCCAGTAATCAAACATATTTAGTCTCCTTGACTACAGGATAGAGACCCTACGGGATAGAGTTTAAAGTTGCTCGACAGGACATGTAAAGAGGCCTCTTTCTGATTACTGTTTGTCTTTTGGCCATATTTCCCTCTATTCCTCCTCGTTTGTGAACCCTAAACTCTGTTTATGCAGGGATATTTGCTTTTAGTGATGACTATGCACCCTTCTCCATCTCTTTGCTTTTAGTCTTGTAGTTACTACAGCCGAGTTTGTCATTCCTCCATCACTACCTCCATCTTTGTGTGGCCCTACTAAAAATACCACTTCTGCCAGCAGCCTTCTTTCATAATCAAATCTGGAATCATATTTCCCCCTTGCATGGGAGATACAATGAGCATCCTGCCCTTTCCCCCAGGCACATCATCTCCAGGAACATAGTTAGGTTTCCAGCTGTGAGCAGTTGCCTGAGGACATTCCTCTTGCACCTGGTACCAGGGCAGCTCACAAGTGCCAGAAGTTTTCATTCCTCAGGAGTAGCCTTTAACCAATGGAGGAAGCAAACTGGAAGATAAATACCTGAGTGTCCTTGCCCCTCAGGCTAACGAAGGCATCTTCTGTTCTGTCCCCAGAGCTCCCCAGCAACATTGAGCCCCAGTTGCTCACAGCAGGAATCTGTTCCATAATATACCTTTTGCTATCGGCTAGTCTAACTTCCTGACTCCCCTTTTGGTGCTGTCTGTGATCACCTCCCAAATAAACAACTTGTGCATGCATTCTTGTCTCATGGTTGGCTTCTGGTGGAAGCTAATGTAATACACAGTCCCTGTGCTCTCATAGCAGGCTACTTAGACTTTCCCCTTCCTAACTTCATTTAGCGTGGGCAATACTCGTTTGAGAAAAGTCGTTGAGATCAGAAACAGCATCTTTCTCAGCATGTTCCTTTCAATACCTAGCACAATCTCTTACTCGAAGTAGGCGTTCAACAACTAAAGGTTAAGTGTAAGTGCTTCAATGAAGAGGAAAATCTGCATTATGGCACTTAAAATAAAAAGATAAAAAAAATTAAGTATTTACAATAATTCTCTATAGAGCAATGACCACATCATACTTTAGAAGCTCCGCTCTAATGAACAGAACAAATTATCTGTAGCCTTCATATTCCATACTTTTTGTTGTTGTTGTTGTTGTTGTTGAGATAAGATCTCACTCTGTTGTCCAGGCTGGAGTGCAGCAACGCAGTCATAGCTCTTGCAACCTTGATCTCCTGGGCTCAAGCGATCCTCCCTCCTCAGCCTCCTTAGTAGCTGGGACTACAGGTGTGCACCATCAGGCCTAGCTAATTTTTAAATTTTTAGTAGAGGCAAAGTCTCATTAGGTTGCCCAGGCTGGTCTCCAACTCCTGGCCTCAAGCAGTCCTCCTGCTTCAGCCTCCCAAAGTGTTGGGATTACAGGCATGAGCCACCACACCCAGCCTCATTCCATAGTTTTTGAGTTACCTGGTATTGAGAGTCACATTTCCATGTACCTGACCCGTTTCACCCACTGGCCTCTAAGCTCACTAAAGACAGACCTTTGATCTATGTTTTTTTATAATACTAGCCCCTCACCTGATGTGTTGCACCCAGTATATACTCAATTCCAAAAATATGTTTTATTAATTTTTTAAATTTTATTTTATTGAGACAGTGTCTTGCTCTGTTGCCCAGGCTGGCATGCAGTGGCATGATCTCAGCTCAGTGCAGCCTCAATCTTCCGGGTTCAAATGATCTTCCTACCTCAGCCTCCCAAGTAACTGGGACAACAGGCACACACCACCATGCCTGGCTATTTTTTTTTTTTTTTTTAAATAGAGACGAGTTCTCACTCTGTTGCCCTCACTGGTGTCAAACTCCTGAGCTCATCACGCAATCCTTCTGCCTTGGCTTCCCAGAGTGCTGTTGTTACAAGTGTGAGCCACTATGCCCAGCCCAAATTATTATTTAATGAAACCAAGAATTTTAAAGCACATGAGGGTGTTTTAAAATTGTTTCTTTTTAAAGAGGTGGTTTATTTTGTTGCCCGGGCTGGAGTGCAGTGGTGCGATTTTGGCTCACTGCAATCTCTACCTGCTGTTCAAGTGATTCTCCTGCCTCAGCCTCTTGAGTAGCTGGGATTACAGGCGTGCACCACCACGCTAGGCTAATTTTTCTATTTTTAGTAGAGACGAGGTTTCACCATACTGGCCAGGCTCATCTCAAACTCCTGACCTCAAGTGATCCGCCTGCCTCAGCCTCCCAAAGTGCTGGGATTACAGGCGTGAACCACGGCATCTGGCCTATACCTGTCATTTTTGTGCCCACTATAGAAAGATAAACCAGCGGAGTTCTATTATATTACTTATACAAATTTTAAGTTGAGAGCATCCAAATTAATGAGGTTTTACTGTACTTATGAAATTAATTTGACAATTATTGAAATCAAGATCTTGTAGAGAGAGTGTGTGATTCACATTAACAGTCTCTGAATATCCTAATTGTGTAGTCTTCATTCTTTTTGGCCATCATCTCTACTGCAGCATTTATTCACATTTAGCTCTGTGTTTTCACCCCAAAGAGGCCCAGATCTTGTAACTTTTCTGCAACCAGAAAATCTAATTCATTGTTAACAGACACAGTTGTGTGTCTGCTAGGCTGCTGTAGACATAACCCTTTAAAAGTTAGCTTAGTTAAAGGAAACAAAATAACACAAAACAATAGAGGTGTGTGTGTGGAAATCAGTGTTGTATGGCCTGGACCTATTCTTACCGCTCTTATAAAGCAACTCTTTCTGTGTGTGGTGTTTCAGCTTTACTTTAATAATTAGCAAGTCTTGGTAGATCAGAATTTCACTTGGGCCTTGTCCCTTAGAAAATAGTGTTAGAGGTTCCTCTGCCAGTGGCATTGGCAGCCAAGAAGGAACAAATTAAGGGATCAGTCTGTACTCACATGTAGAGACCTTTACTTCTTGGGATGATCCAAATATCTGCGTAATTTTACAATGGAGATAAAAGTTGATGAAATACTTTTGAATAGATTGTGCATATAGATATGGCCAGAGAGCTTGTGGATGTAGTTGTTCAGATGCAGTTACTCTGCTAAAAGGAATACAGATACAACTCAAAGGTACATAAAGAAAAAAATTCTGCAGGAAACTATACTTAGGATTACATCTCTGGCATTTATGTTTCTTTATAGTATTAGCACTTTACCTGATGTCTCACACACAATGTATGCTTGATTCCAAAAATATTTTTTATTTTTATTTTATTTTTTTGAGACAGTGTCTTGCTATCTTGCCCAGGCTGGCATGTAGTGGCATGATCTCGGCTTACTGCAGCTTCAATTTCCTGGGTTCAAGTGATCCTCCTACCTCAGCCTCCAAAGTAGCTGGGACAATAGGCACACACCACCATGCCTGGCTGATTTTTTTTTTTAATTTAATAGAGATGAGTTGTCACTCTGTTGCCCAGGCTGGTCTTGAACTTCTGAATTCACTCAATTCTCCTGCCTTGGACTCCCAAAGTGCTAGCGTTACAAGTGTGAGCCACTTTTAATGGCTCACCCTGCAAAATTTAAAAATTATTATTATAATTTTTTGAGAGAGAGTCTCACTCTGTCACCCAGGCTGGAGTGCAGTGGCATGATCTCAGCTCACTGCAGCCTCCACCTTCTGGGATTAAGCAATTCTCCTGCCTCAGCCTCCCAAATAGCTGGAATTACAGGCATGCACCACCATGCCTGACTAATTTTTGTATTTTTAGTAGAGATGGGGTTTCACTGTGTTAGCCGGGCTGGTCTGGAACTCCTGACCTCAAGTAATCCTCCCACCTCTGCCTCCCAAAGTGCTGGGATTACAGATGTGAGCCACCACACCGGCCCAAAATTATTATTAAAGAACAATAAAACACATGGTTAGGGAGTAGCAGTTTATTTTAATTATGTTCCCTTTTGAAAAACATCTGACAAATATTGCAACTAGTAATAAGGTGCCCAGACAGAAGGGATTTCCCAGAAAGGAGAGGTCTGTAATCCAGGTCTTACATTGTTAACCTCAGGACTGGCTACAAACTTATTGCCTGATACAAAATGAAAATGCAGAACTCCTTGTTCAAAATGTATTAAGAATTTTTTTAGCACAGTAGAGCATTAAACCAAGTAGGGATGTGGGGCAGGTCGGGGAGAGGTGCTTGGGGACTGTGTTACTGGTGTTACTGTATAAGTCCTACACTTGTGAAACCAGTCCTGGTTACCCACCAGTTACTGAGATCCTTCTCCGCAAGATTTTGTTCTTAGTGTTTCTTGATTAAATGATGTATCCCTGGACACACATGAGAAATCCAGATTATGACTGAGTCTATAGAGGTGCTATGTAAACATGATTCTGTGATTTTTTTTTCTTATTATTCTGTGATTTCTTAATATACTAGAACCCTTATCTATCCCCCAGTGGAAGACATCAAAGATTTTTTGGGTAGGGCTGGCTCTTAATAGAACTCAATAATAGGGCCAGGTGTGGTGGTTCATGCCTATAACCCCAGTACTCTGGGAGGCCAAGGTAGGCAAATCACTTGAACCCAGGAGTGCAAGACCAGCCTGGGCAACATGGGGAAACCCCGTCTCTACCAAAAATATAAAAAAATTAGTCGGGCTTTGTGGTTTGCATCTGTGGTCCCAGCTACTTGGGAGGCTGAGGTGGGAGGATCGCTTGAGCCCAGGAGGTTGAGGTTGCAATGAGCCGAGATTGTGCCATTGCACTCCAGCCTGGGTGACAGAGCAAGACCCTGACTCAAAAAAAGAAAAAAAAAAAGGAACTTCAATAATTCATCCTAGAAGTATATGCTTGCATTCCTTCCCACTTGATTGTCAGTTGTTAAAAGCCAAGACCCCAGTCTTGGGATTCTGAGATTTCATGCAGTCATCTACCCCCATATAGTTTGGAATGAGGGAGAAATGGCAAAGGCACTTACATGATTATTTCACTATGGCCTTTCTCACAAATTCCTCCCTGATCTCTGTCCCTTGCTGAAACTGAATCTGTGTACTCCTTTTCTTTCTGGGCCACCTTCCAGGCAGGTGGAAGCCATCTCCTCTAGGCCTTTTCTCCTCCTTCCCAAACCACCCCTCCAGGCAATAGAGGGATGAGGATCGATCTTCCTGAACCAGAGAACTTGGTCTTTACTCCTGTTTCCCCACACTCTACTCCTCCTTATCTTGGAGGCCCAGCTGTATCCTTTAGTTTATCTTTGACTTGTATGACTTTGTTCTCCCTAGGGATAGAGTCAGGGGATAGAAACACTTCAGTTCTGTCTTGAAATTAGAATAAAGATGCAGAGGGCATGAGACCCACCTCTGCCGTAGATTCAGTTTTGATTGCTTAATCAGGTGAGTTTTATGTGTCTACTAAATCACAAATAATTAGAGAACAGCATGTGTTAATAATCCTGAAAAATCCCAGGAACAGTTCTATAGCAGTGCCTCCAAATGTGATTAGAATTCTTTGCTCACAGACAGTATATTTCTTCCAAGTCTAAGAAAACACATGTGCTGTGTGAATTAATTTTATTGTACTTTTTCTAATTAGTCTTCAAAAGGCTTGGCTGTTTTGCTTATTGGTGAGCTCCTGTGACAAACCAGGGCATTCGATTGAATTGTAAACCAACTTATGACATTGAGCAAAGCAAACTTCCAAACAGATTGTGATTCTTCTTATCAAAGCAGTTATGAAAAAAAAGTTGTAGAAAAGGCATTTTTCGGGCAATTTAAAAATTAATGTCTGGTAAATGAGAATAATTCTATCTATCCTCTTATTTATTTCAGAAGAAAAATTTCAGAGTTTTTAAGGTATTTTTTAAAATGGGAAACTTAATAAGGAAATGGCATTACTTCTACTACTACTATTATTATTGTAAATATATTTAGGTATTATTTAATACTTAAGTAATTTTAAGTAATTTATTTAAGTATTATTAGTTTTTAGAATTCGTGACCTCTTATGGCCAAACTGGTTTTTAATAAGCTAGAATTTAGTAATAGGTTTTTTCCATTGAATTAGGTTTTAATAGAACCTAAGTTATTACTTAATGGATAATTTCTACTTGGAAATTGGTAAGACATATTGAGTATACATTAGATATGCTGAAGGGGCTATTTGTCAAAATTACCTGTTTTATAGGTATACTGAACACAATTTTCAATCTGTTATTAGTAGAACAATAATACTGGTCTACTTCATAGGATTTGTGGATTGTACTAAACATATTTAAATTCAAATATGTTTTTTGGCTTCATTGAACTATAATTAACATACGATAAACTGTGCATGTTTAAAGCATACGATGTGATGCATTTTGACACCCTTGCAAGCATCTCCATCAAGGTAGTGAATATATCCACCACCCTCAAAAGTTTCCTTCTGCCTGTTTATCATCCCTTCCTTCCTACCTCTTTTCAGGGTGCCCTTCCCTCCACTCCCTAGGCAATCACTGATCTGCTTGTTTTTCATCACTATTGGGTAGTTAACATTTTCTAGTCTTTTTTTTTTTTTTTTTTTGGTCTGGCCTCTTTCACTCACCATAATTATTTTGAGATTTCTTCCTGTTGTTGGGTGTTGTTTTCCATAGTTTGGTTCATTTTTATTGCTGAGTCAAATTCTGTTGAATACACCATTTTCTGTTTATTCACCATCAAATGTTTTGTATGTATTTATTCTTTTCTTCTCTAAGCTAAACTTCATGTTCACTTCAATTCTGCCTCCCGAAGACTTCATGGTATCACAGGAGTTTTGTTGTCAGCCCATCACATCTGGATCCAAATCACAGCCATATCTCTTGTGAGTGTGTGAACACGGCCTTTGCAGGTTTCTTCTCTGGGCTGCAGTGTCCTTATCTGAAAAATGAGCATAGTAATATGTACCTCTTAGGACTGTTGTAAGGGTGAAATATGTAAAGCATATAGAACAAAACTTGGCACACAGTAAGTGCTATCTGGTTGGTAGTTATTATTATTACCGTCATTAATTGCATATGATATGTTTGGTAGAACTTCCAGCCCATAATAAACTCTCAACAAATGTTAGCTATTATTATTATTCATACTAATATCACTATAGCACATAACAACTCTTCATTTCTTTCCTTCCTTCCTTGTCCCTCTTATGTTTTCAGTCTCTTCACTATTTTTGTTACTAATAGTACCCGTGTTACCTGACCAGGCAAAATAAAGGAGGGCAGTGATTTCCAAAGTATGATCCCAGAACCAGCAACATTAGCACTGATTTGGGAACTCATTAGAAATGCAAATTCTCAGGCCCCACCCCAGACCTACTGAATCAGAAACTCTGGGGGATGGGGCCATGGTCTGTGTTTTAACAAGCCTGCCAGGTGATTCTGATATAGCTAAAGTTTGAAAACTAGTGCAGTCGGGTAATCGCCAGGCTGGTGCAGGAGTTAATGCAGGCTCAGTTCACGTCAACTTTCTTGTTAGGAAAAGCACACTGTTGACTAATTGAGCTTAATATCAACTAAAACCCCTAAGTCCTTTTCACACATGTTGCTGCTAATCCCCATATTCTCCATCTAGCACTTGTACAGGATTCTTTTTGGACTGAAGTATAAGTCTTTACATTTATCCCTATTAAACTTAATCTTGTTAGATTCGGCCCATCGCTTCAGTCATGTTTGGGGAAATTTTAGTTCAGCTGGAATGAACCATGACAAAAAAGCAGGGCCCAGAGACCAAGGAGGAATGTTACAAGGACAACATCCTTTTATATATTGGCCGAATACTGGCCAATGAGATACTGACTATGGTGGGCTTCTAATTAAACACTTGAGACCCTGGGGGGATGTGGTAATTTGATTTCAGTTTAATTCAACTAACATTTATTGGGCACCTACCAAGTTCCTGGCTGTGAACAAGGTACCAGAGGGGGTGCTAAATAGCTCACTCTTTAATGTCAGATATTAATGTCTACTATCTGACATTAGTAGTAGAGACAAGTAGAGATGAAGGGGTTTTTGGTTTTGGTTTTGTAGCAGGCACATTGTAGCCCAATATACCAATACTCACAAGTTCCTTAAGGAAGATAACTAATATTCTTTGAGCACCAGATCCTCCACCATATGCTTTGTTGACACTTCCATATTTAATTTTCAAAGCAATCATAGGAATGATTGCCCCATATAAATTTGAGGAAACATAGATACAGAGGTTAATGCATTTCTTCAAGGTCACACAGGTAGTTAGCAATAGAGCCAGAGGATGCTCCAAATCTGTATGGATTTAAAGAACATACTGCATATAAGCTTTCTCCTTGTGATCAAGAAAATTAAGCTCTTTAAATATCAAAACCCCTAGTAGCTTAAAGTCCAACCATAAACTATTGATTTATAATAGTTAGGTTTAAAATCCTAAAAACATTAAAATAGCGATACATTACCTAGTCCTATATACACAGAATAGTGCATTTAGCTGTGCTCACAGTCCTAATTTAAAACAACAACAACAACAACAACAACAAAACTTATGTTTGGGCCAGGCGCCGTGGCTCATGCCTGTAATCCTAGCACTCTGGGAGGCCGAGGCAGGTGGATCACTTGAGGTCAGGAGTTCGAGACCAGCCTTGCCAACATGGTGAAACCCTGTCTCTACTAAAAATACAAAAATTACCTGGTCGTGGTGATGCATGTCTGTTATCCCAGCTACTCAGGAGGCTGAGGCAGGAGAATCACTTGAACCAGGAAGGCGGAGGTTGCAGTGAGCCAAGATCGCGCCATTGCACTCCAGCCTAGGGGACAGAGCAAGACTCCATCTCAAAAAAAAACTTATGTTTGGTTTTGTTTTTATTTGCCTCTTTTAAAGTGTTAGCCACATATTTTAATCCATCTATATCACAATATTATTATATAAATATACAATATTAATACAATATTATTAATATTATAACTCCAAGTTGTTACCTGTAGCAACCAAATCTTTGGAAAATATATAATTTTATCCTCTAGGGGGCAAAACTAATCAATTCTATTCTAGCAGGTAATAGCTGTTATATTTTACTGATACATAATGTGCATTTTAGTAAAGTATCTTGTAGTGTAATGGAAAGACACTGGACTTGGAGTCTAAAGATAAAAATTTGCTTCCACTTACTAGCTATCTCACCCTGGGCAAAAAAATTTAACTTATATAAACCTCAGTTTTTAGATCTCTAAAATGGGATGATAATGTTCATGGGGTTGTGAAAATTAACTGAAATAGTATTTATGAAGTTTCTCTGTGGTCTGGTAATGTTTTACAAATATAAGGTTTTTTTAAACTTATCTATTTTACAAGCTACCAAAATGTGAAATATTTTGGACACTTCTGCCACCTACACATCTACCTAATTCATAGAGTAGAATTTGAAATTTTTGAACTTCTCTGAAAATGCATCCATTCTTTCATAGTTTCTTTTTAGCAGTAGAGTTTCCTGTAGAATTACATACAAGCAGTGGAATAGAACTGATATTGAAATTCTAGATTCTGTTTGTTAACTTGCATTTCAAAGATAAATTCTGTTTAACCAGCATTAATATTGTCAACACTACTGGCATCATCATTATAAAAAGATTCCCACTAGGTGCCAGCATGCCTGAAGCCATGTGCTATGGTTGTATAAAGTGAGTTAAGCTGGTAAGAAGCCTAGTTCTTTAGGACTTTATAATATGGGCAGACTTTACATGAATAGGGGAAAAAATAAAGATATGCATTTGAATCCCTGGATTTAAACCCCTGCTGTATCCCTTATTAGGTGTATGACCCTAGGCAAATGACAGTCTTTTAAACTTCAATTTATTCATCTTTATAATTGGGATAACAGTACCTACCTGATAGAGATGTTGTGAGAATTAAATGCTATGTTATGGATAGAGTGCTTAGTACAATAGCAGTATTTAATGCCCAGTTAATATCAGATATTATCTGAGCTAAGAACTCTATACTGCAATATCAAACTCCTAAACTTTTCATCTTTCTTTTCTGGTCCTCATACCATGCAAAAATGGGGTTACTCTGATAATAATGAATAAATGTGAAGCCTGGAAATTACTGTCAATCACCTGCACTGCTACATTAACCCCCTGGAATCACAGAGTCTTAGAGTAGGAACCCCAGACTTCGAAAGTCATTTAGACCAATGACCTTGTTTTGCAAATGGGGAAACTGAGATCCACTCAGGTTAAGTGTCCTATCCAAGGCTATAGAGCTAGTTTGTGATGAAGCTGGACTAAAATCTGGGCTCTACACTCAAAGTATGTCACTCTCCCTCCTCCATACTGTCTCCCTAGACAGCTTGGTCATTTTAATCCCTTCTTATATTTGCCTTGCCAATAGGACCATGCTGTTCTGGCCTGCTGCCAATTTAGGCTGTCCAGTTCCAGCCAAGTCTTCATGGTTAATCTTGTTATTCATCTCCTCTTTTTTTCCTAGCATGTAAGTTTCACAATGTATTTAGCAGGGGGAAAAACCCAAAACCTGCCTTTGTTTTCCAAATAAAACCTTATTTGTGTCAAAAAAAAAAAAGTGAAATCAATAAAAGCTTCCTTGTTTGGATAGGGATGGGTTGTGAGTCCACAGGCCCATAGGCTCAGCTCAGACCCTTCATTCCCATTCCCTCTAAAGTGGTCCCTGAGGGAGTTCTACTGAACTCTCAGGTTTCTCTTAGCAACACAGTTTAAAAGTTACTATCTCACATGTACACTTAACAATGGTTATTCCTGGGGACTCTCAACTTGTCAGGAGCATCTCAGGCCACTTCCATATGTGTAATCCTGTTTAGCATTTCTGTATTTTTTAATACGCTAAACAGGATTACACAAATTATGACATATTTTAAATGTTCCCACTCAATAGATTAACATTTTAAATTCAGATAAAAAATTGATGACAGCAGGTGTGGCCTCCTTTTGATATAACACCAGAAGTTGAAAATTGAGATACTTCCACTTCCATCCCCAACTTGGCATTGGCCCTTACTTTTCTTAACTTGGCCTGTTCCTCAATTCTCAAGATCCAACTCAACCATCATTTAATGGGTGTCCACTATGTGTTAAGTTCCCCAGTAGGTACTTGGGCCACAAAGATGAAAAAGATATAATCTTTGCTCTTCAAGCAAGTAGCAGATTAATAAGGGTGACAGCTCCAAAGTGGTCCCTATGGAACTGTGTCCTTTCATGCCTTTGAGCAGTTCCTGGCCCCGACTTGTGTTAATAGCAGTGGAGGTGACACAGTGCCAGTTCAGGGCCCCCTTTAAGAGGACTGACAGCTTCTGATTCCTTCCTTTTGGAACGCTCTTACACCCTGAGCAGCTGTATAAGAAGTTGGGCTGCTTTGGTGGAGGGACCACATGAAAAAACATGTGGAGAGACCTCATGAAGAGAAAGAAGCCCAGCTTTCCCAACACCAACATCCCAGCTTGAGCCCAATCCTCCAACTATCTCAGCCAAGGTCCTAGACGTATGAGTGAACTGTCTTACATGCTCCATCTTTATGGAGCCCTAAAGTTGACTGTAGCTCCAGCTGATGTCACGTGGAGCAGAACAACCACATAGCAGATCCCAGTCAACCCATGGAATGTTGAGACAATAATAACTTAGTTATTACTTAAGTCATTATGTTTTGGAATGATTTGTTACATAGCAATAGATAACTGAAACAGATGGGTAAAAAAATGATGATGCCATGTGGTAAGTTCTACCGTTAAGGTATGTACAAACTGAAGTGTTAGCATTGACAAAGCACTGACTAGACATTATTGAAATTGGGACTAGGAGTATACCAGGATTCATGGAGGAACTGGCATAATGAGCTGAATCCTGAGGAATGAGTAAAATGTCATCAAGTAAAGAAAGTAGCATGTATAAAAAAGCTTAGGAGAACATAGTAGCAATACATATTTAGTATGTAGTTCAGTGTCAGTTGGGAGATAAAGCATCACAAAGGTATACTAGAGCCAACTATAAAGGCCTTTTCTTGTCAGGCTAATATTAACCTGCAGGCAGTGGAAAGCCAATGATAGCTCTTAGGCACTGCTATGAAATGAGCAGTTATCATATCTGTTATCTTAGGCTTCCTTCTCCTTAGCCATTTCACACTATGGATCACTTCCTCTTTCCCCTTTCTCTTCTTCTGTGACTTTATCCAGGTTTTCCTCCTGCTGATCTATAGATGTTTCTTTTTTGGCTTCATTGGTTCCACTTACTTTTCTACTGGAATTTCTCAAATTTCTGTCTTTGGTTCTCTACTCATCTTTCCCAGTATTCTCTTTTGGCTGCACCTGAGACTCCTTGGCAGAAGATTTGAAATCTCTGTCTCTAGACTGGCCTTGCTTTCTAAACGCCATGTTATCTCAGACAAGTAAAACCTAATTCAGTCCTCTTTCCCTCCCCACTTTCCCCCTATTTTTTCTTTTTTTAAAAAACTTAATCCCAAATGTAATAGTATCCACTTTCCCCCTAGAAAATCCAGTCCCTTCTCTTCATTTTCCCATTTCTGTCATTTCTTTCTATCACCCAGGCTTACAACTTCAGAATCACGTCTTTAATTCCCAACTTTCTCACATACTTAACTATCACTCAAGTTCAATTGTTCCTCCTTTACACTGCCTCTCACATTTTTTGTTTTATTACTTTCTTTATAGTTTCCTTAAAATTTATGTTGATCTTGCCAATCTCCTGCTGTATTATTTTTTCAAGGCCATTGACTCTGTAGCTGAAAAACTGGTCCTTCCACAATCTGGTCCATAAGTGTCTTATTTTTCAACACTCTTCTTCTTGAACTCATCCATACATAGTATAGCTTGTAAAGGGCCTTGATGTTAAGTTGATTTTAGGACCCTGATGCTATGTTGTATGTTTTGTGTGTAACACTATTTTTTTATCTTGCCAAATAGGGAAGTAAGTTTAGCTAAATAAGTGCAAAGTTTTCTTGATAGGCAAGAGTGGAGAACAAGAGGAAACATGTTTCTTTTTTGTTAGGGGATTAGAGAAAGCTAACCAAGGAATAGAAGATAGATGCCTTGGTGCTGAGGATCAAATGTTTTTCATGGGTTGGCTAGAATCATTCAGGAGGCTTACTAAAAGCACAGATAGCCAGGCCCTACTGCATAGAAGTAGCCTGTACTTGGGTACATGTTGGAATCACCTGCATAGCAGTAGCCAAAACTTGGCTACATGTTGGAATCACCTGTGGCTGGTGGAAGGTGGGGAGGGGGCGGGAGATGCTTTAGAAAAATACTGATGCCTAGCTCCCATCACCAGTAAGTCTGATTTAATTGGTTTTGACTGTAACCTGGGCAACAGAATTTTTTAAAGCTCCCCAGGTGATTTATAATGTACAGCCAAAGTTGAGCACATGACCCTAGAGATTCTGTTTCACTATGTCTGGGACGGGGACAATGAATAAATGTCCCCATGTGATTCTGAGAGCCACTTTGCCACAGGAAGAAGCATTTGTTTCCCTGGGTATTTCTGAAAAAGGATTCAATAAATGCCTAAGACAGGCATAGAATGGAGTTGTTCTTATAGATGGGGTAACAGGCTGACTTATGAATGGAAGCTAGTGAATATGTCCAGTTCATCCTCACACCCTCCTCTCACAATGAGATTACCCATCACTCTTCAGTTCTCTCCTCCCAGAAACCAAATTGACTTGGTTTTATCACTTTTTCCGCTTCAGCCAAGCTGCCTGTTTGTTGTCCTCTATGAATTTTCACTTTCATTGTATCTTTCTTTTCCTACTACTTAGCTACTTATGTCAAAACCTTACCCACCCTTAATGCTCAGCATAAATCCCACCATGTTAGTGAAAACTTCAGACACATACTGAAGTACTGGGTGTTAGAACTTCAACATATTAATTTGGGTGGAGGAACACAATTCAGCCTATGTTCATATCTTATATGTCAGGTGAGAATATAAATTTTAGCACACTGAAAACAAAGAAATACCTAGTTAGGGCTACACATGTGTTTATTATCATGCCAGTAATTTTGCTTTGAATGATAATTTCATACATATGACTCAGGAGGCAAGAAAGGATAAGTAATTATGAACTTAATTTTAATTAGTTTTATTGATACTACTTATAACAGTTTTCGATTCATAATTGCCCATATGAGAGTTCGAGCAATAGATATGGCTGAAGCTAAAATAGAGGAACATAAACGGCTTTAGGATATAGTTGAAAAAGGGTGAGATTTGGAGGGTGACTTTGGGTATATCACGACTTTTCTGAGCCTTTGCCCCATCATCTGTAAAAGGGAATGTTAGCTGTGTAATCAGTGAAGGTGGAATGAGCAAATTAATATGAAAATTATTTGCAAAATTTAAAACACTATTCAAATATTTTTATTATTATTGTGATGGGTGAGAAATTTGAAGAGAAGCCTCCAGAACTGTATCATTCCCCACAAAATAAGAGGTTCAGAGAAACTGAGACTAGAATGCTGCAATAAAATCTAGCTGTCTTCTGTTGCTTGACTTTACCTAAAATCTCCTCAATGGTGTAAATATTTTTTCTGAATATATTACATAGAAGAACCTTTATCATTGAAAATCCATATGATCGCTAGCAATGAGTTTCAATGTTAATGAAGTGCTGACTATTTGCATAGTATATAGGACCAGTCCTATTTTTTATTACTTACAATATGGATAGCATTTAGAGGTTGTTCTCAAGGCATTAACAGCTTTTGGGTAAAAAGTCAGATTTCAAAACTAGAATGAGATAACCAGGTCTTTTCCTGACACACTGATATTGAAAGGGCTCCTATGTATATATATGTGTGTGTGTGTATATATATATATATATAGAGAGAGAGAGAGAGAGAAAGAGAGAGACAAAGTCTCACTCTGTCATCCAGGTTGGAGAACAGTGGAGTGATTTCGGCTCACTGCAACCTCAGTCTCCCAGGTTCAAGTGATTCTCTGGCCTCAGCCTCCCAAGTAGCTGGGATTACAGGCAAAAGCCACCATGCCCGGCTAATTTTGTGTATTTTTTTGTTGAGACAGGGCTTCATCATGTTGGCCAGGCTGGTCTTGAACTCCTGACCTCAAGAGATCTGCCCACTCTGGCCTCCCAAAGTGCTGGGATTACAGGTGTGAGCCACGCGCCCAGCCAATATTTTTGGAATAATGATTTTTAAAAGTTGCACACGGTTTTAAGCCACTCGCCACTTAGCCTCCCCTGACAAATTAAGGTGGCAAATCAGTCTTGGGCCCTGGGCCAGTCCTGTTGGCAGCCAGCTGAGATGATGGAGTTGGGGGCCAGAAGTCAGGATCAGGAAGCCTCTTAATACCTGCAGGATGCCTCCTCTCTCTCTCCTTGCTTCCCCATGCTGCTGATTTGAGGATACTATTTTGCTGTTTGCACTTGGGTCAAAATTGCTACTTATGGCTTTGGAAGACATATAAAAGGATCAATAGCTATGAAATTAATGTTTAATGTCACCCTGCTCACAGCTCCTTGATTTTCTGATATGTGTCTAAATTACTGTTGTAGGCAATAAATGTAGTATGAAGTTTGAATCCCCATTGTGCCTATGGCATATTAAATAAATAGCTTATATATTTGCAGTCCTTTCTTCTGATCCTACTTACCAGTCAACAACTCACTATCTTGTTCAGCATTCTTTCTTGTTCATACTTATATACAGAGTATCTACCATAACCCCTGATACTTAGTGAGTAGCTATTTCAATGGAAAGGATAGTAAGTAGGGTTGCTAAGGCCCATATGGTTCAAGTGAATCATATTAAAACAAAACAAGACCCATTGGAAATTATTGCTAAGTTTGCTGCTGCAGTTCTTACAGTCATCACACTTGTCAATAACCCCAGAGCCATGGAGAATAGATAAGTAGCTAAGCAGCTCCTGAAAGGTGGGAAGGTAACGTCACGTCTCTTGTTTTTGGTGTTGCATAATTTATTTATTGTTGTAAAGGTTGGAAGGGCAAATGTAAGGAAATAGAAATTAAATGCAGGAGACTAGGCCAGACCACAGCCCCTCCATGTCCCAGGCTAGCTAGCTGGAAGATGAGGCACAGTGACACAAAGGTTGAGAGGATGACTTCTTTAACTAATGTCAAGGATCATGAAATTGCAACTAGCCTAGAAAGTAGCTGGGATCTTCTGCAGAATTAAGGACCAGTGTTGTTGTCATTGCTTTTTCAGGAGAGTATGGAAATGAAGCATCCTTGTGACAGAAGGTGGGGTTGTTAGAGTGGTGATGGCAGCCAGATAAGCAATCCTCATGACCTTTATGGAGCAGAGAAAACAGCTGGACAGCTGATATTTTCATCAGCTATGTCTTTGCCCAGCTGCACAGATGGGCACTTAAATTATATAATAAATCACTGGCTTTCCAATGCACCCATCAAACCCTGTCAGTCATATAGCTTAAAACATTTAGAATCACAAGATCCTTGAAGATGTTTGTCACAATTGAGACAATTTGGTTCTTAATATAATATTCTACCTATTGTGGTGGAAAAAGGAATTTATTAGATAAGGAGAGGTAATACTTGTGTTCAAGTCCATGTTATACCTCCACTTCTTTCTCTCTGCTGAAGATCCCATTTGGCTTCTTAGGGAATAAGCTTCCTCATATATGAATGATAATTGTTACTATCTAGCCTCAGTGTCTCTTCTAGGTTAAAAGTGAAATTGAGTTTTATAAAATAAAAAAGTAGTAGTATTTTTATTTCTTATGATTATAAAGGATTTAACTTCATCAGTATTCAAGTGGTCTTGTATCATTCACGATGACTCAATAGCAACGTGTCTACAAATTATTCAAGCTCTTTCCATGACTCATGCCATGTATTATAACAAAGTAAGTTTCCTCTCTCTCCTGAAAAAAAAAGGCCTATTTTTTATATGAAAAGGGGTAGACATTTGGAAACTTTTAAAAAGAGATTTGCTAATAATATAAATGGTTGTTAACATTTTTAAAGTGAATTAAAAGCTTGTCACCAAGATACAACTAAGATTCTAGAAGCTATAGACTTCCATTTGGTGGAAAACGAGCATCAATATTATAAAGATTTTATAATGACTCCTTCAGAAATGCTGCCATGGAGGTGCATGTACCCAGGTGGAGGGAGGCTGGTCTATGGTCTATGGAAGTGCTGCTATAACAAAATACCACAGGCTGGGTAACTTATAAAAAACAGAAATGTATTTCTCACAGTGCTAAAGGCTAAGTCGAAGATCAAGGAGCCAGCAGGTTTGGTTGTCTGGCAAGGGTTGCTCTCTACTTCCAAGATGGCGCCATACTGTTGCATCTTCCAGAGGGGAAGAACCTTCACATGGTGGGAGGCAGAAGGACAAGCAAGCTGAAGGCTTGTATTTCATTTATTTTTTATTTTTTTAGTTTTTATGAGACAGAGTCTCACTCTGTGGTCCAGGCTGCAGCGCAGTGGCACAATCTTGGCTCACTGCAACCTCTGCCTCCCAGGTTCAAGCGATTTGCATGCCTTAGCCTCCCGAGTAGCTGGGACTCCAGGCATGCACCACCATGCCCGGCTAATTATTACATTTTTAGTAGAGATGGGGTTTCACCGTGTTGGCTAGGCTGGTCTGGAACTCCTGACCTCAAGTGATCCGCCTGCCTCAGCCTCCCAAAGTGCTGGGATTACAGGTGCGAGCCACTGTGCCTGACATGAAAACCACTTTTACAAGGGTCTTAGTCCCATTCACAAGAGAGGAGCCCTCATGACCTACTCACCTCTTAAAGGCCCTGCCTCCCAATGTGACATCTGAATTTTGTGGGAATTCATTCAAATCATAGCAGGAGCCTACTGTCATTCAGAACGATCTGAAAGGTCAGCATTGTTCCTGAAATAAGTCAATAAGCATACTATAAATGTAATAGCATGCTGAATAACTAAGACCCATATTCTTGAGTAACCTGGGATGACTGAGCCGTTTCCAGCCTATACTCTCCTTGCTCTTCCCACTTCTCACAAGAAGTGATGGTAACTACTGCTCTATAAGGTCAGAGGTCCAACTTTATCTGAGATATTTATTAGTGTCTTCTTCTACCCAGCTGGTTCTGGGGAGTCTTTGGACTGGGAGTGGAGGGGAACCCAGGACATGGAAACTCCTCAAAATTCATACCTGATGGGTTCTGTGGGTAGCACACTGGCCTTAGATATTCAGCAAGAAAAAAAAAAAACAGAGTTTTTCAACTAACTATATTAAACTCTGTGGCCCTCCACTCCTTAGGAAAAAAAAAAAAACTTACATCATTATTTTTTTTCTGACATATCATTTTTATATTTGGAAAATTTTGAAGATAAAAAAATTATATGTTGCCTAGATATTTTATCATTCAGAGATAACTTTTAATGTTTTGGGAAATTAAACATATATGCACTTATAAGTCATTCATATGTATAAAACTTTGAAGGAATACACATTTGAATGATTTGCCCTTGAAATTTGTATATAAATCTGAGCAGATATGTTTTATGTATTTATTTGTGAAACATATTCAAGCCACTAAGTGCCTTATTAGCAGGAAGTCCTAACTATCACTCTTGAGCTTTCTCTACCTACCTGGCCAATTCATCTCTCCTCTCTTCTGGCCAATTTCCCAAGAATACCAGGGATATACTTACTTGCTGCAGAGGATGGGTTGATAGGCAGGGCCATTCCTGCTCCCAGGGCTGGGCATAAAGAGATCAGTAATGACTAATCAACTCAGGATTGCTATTGATCCTGGCTGGTACCTAGTGTCACTGTTGAAGACTGTGCCCAAAGGCCAACAGATGCTTGTCTATTCTGTGTCATGCCCTTGTTGGTCTGAATGCCTCTCAGCACACCACTGGGGCTCTGAACTCGGGCTTTGAAATTATAGCTCTTAGTTTGCATGCAGATATTCTGTCGTTATTCACTACAGCAAAACCTTCTGTGTATCACTATGTCATCATGGCTAGCCTTAGTCACACACCATTGAGACTTTTCACAGTGCAGCCTGGGAAGTGTGTGACTATGGCTAGCCTTAGTCACACACTACTGAGACTCTTCACAGTGCAGCCTAGACTTGCCCATTCTTCAAGGTTATTTCAGGGACCTCCTTGACAGTTTTAGCCACTGAGCCTGGGGCAGGACCACTCTGTCCACCCTCCCAAGTCTACTTAACTCTGAGTCTCAAGAAGCAGAGTCAATAAGTGGGTCCCTTTGCCACATAGGCCTGGATTCCTTTGGCAAATGAATCCATGGCCTTATAAGAACAAGTTCTCTTTGTAAAATAGTGAGGTAGGTTGTGTTAAAACACTTTTAAGAAGCCAGTATTATGTCTCCTTTTAAAACTGTGTGTCTTAGTTATTTATAGAACTAGGAATTTCCTTTCAAATAATTCATCTCTGAACTGGATTTTTTTTGCAAGTAATTTGTAGTCTATACATCTAGACATAAGAATAAGTGATATAATTCTTAAGTAGTTTTCTACCCCCACCAAGGGGCATCCCATTGATGCTCAACCAATCATAATAGATATCCTGAATATATAAATATCATCCCAGTAGATGGCACAGTATTTGCCACATTGTGGAAGCTAATGACATGCTTGATTTCTCTTATTTTAATATCCAGATAGGGATGTTAAAGTCCTAGGGAACAAATAGGATATATCACAAAATATATCTCTGTCATCAAACATATCAATATATCATCAAAATATACCACCAAAATATATTTCTATTTTTTAATCTCAGCAGCCTCCTCCTAGCCCAAATCACATCATTTTTCACCTGGACAACAGGAATGGAATCCTCATTGGTCCTCTGCTGCCAGTCTTGCCAAATTCTAATAGATTTCCTTGCCATAGCAAGAGAAAAAACAAAAAATCAGATCATGTCACTCCCAAATTTAAAACCCATCAAAGGCTCTTCCTGGGTTTTAATTTATCATAAATGAAAAGCCCTTTGCCACCTCTGGGCCTTTGCTCTTATTCCCTAGTCTTGATGTGCTTTTCTCCAATTCTTCACACAGAGGCTCATTCTCAGCTGTTGGATAACTTCTCTCGCATGGTTGTCTCAGAGGCATCTTCCCTGACTTCACTTCTAAGGCTGCTACCTGCAGTTTCTCTCTTATTTCCTTTATGGAATTGTCATTTTAGTGGAGTTTCAAGGAAGAGTAAAGGTAAATATTGTCCAGTCTGCAATATTTACCTGGCTATTGTGATCATACTTATTTTGTGGAACAAAAGTTGTTACCATGTTCTGTACAGTTGTAAAACCTGCTTTTTATAATATTAAATCATAAACATTTTTAGATTAGTAAATATACATCTATAACATGATTTTTTATTATATTGATATGTCATAATTTAGGTAACAGAACTCTACTGTTAGAAATTTCAGCTGCTGTTTTGTGAAAGAGTTGGAGAAGACCAAGGTAATTCTTAAAGCCTTAAAAAAATGGAGATGGACTTTTGAAACTAAGATTATAGTCTGAAAGGAGAAATATGGATCAGTGACAGGGTAAACAGAAATTATTCTCAAAATCACAGAAAACTAGAATTGGGGTTGCTCTTAAAGCTCAAAAGAACTAAATTTTGAACAAGTAATGGAAATACCATATTAACCTTATTGAGCCAATTACAGTGTGGTTTCTCATGTAACAAACATGGTGGATTAGGATAGAAGAATAGATTTGATGGTTAAAGCAATGGGTGGAGTTTTTGAAATGTTAAATTTGAGATATTTATAGAACACCTAGAGGGGAGCTCTCTAGTAAGTAGTTGGTACGGGGCTTAGGAGGAAGTTCTAGATTGGGGAGACATCAGCATATGTTGAATGGTAATTGACACCAATAGAACTGGATGCAAAAATTCAGGGAGAGTATGTAGAATAGCAGACCTATCAACAAAATGGTGAAGAACACAAACATTTGCAGGATGGACAGAGGGAGATGAACATTTAAAGGAGGAGAACAAGAGGCCAGAGAACTAGGAGTAAAGCCGAGAGAACGTGTGTTGTGGGATTCTCCAGCAATGATTAGCCTAACTGTGCTTGACTGGCCATATGATTGCTTTTCCTCCTCTTGATTCTTCGTTTGTATCTCCCCAAACTGTGCTCACACAGAGAATAACTTTTCCAGACAGAGCATCCTCTTCTTCAATAGAAAATATACATATTATTGTATTCCCCAGATAGAATATCCAATAAGTGCATTAAGCTCATTGAATGATTGCTAGGGTGTGATTTGAAGCATTCAGGGAAGGCTACTTTTTTGTCCTGAAATAGTTCTCTGGCTGACCTACAGCGATGTCTGACATAGTGGGCACTTAGTTCACCTTAGCGAGTAAATGGTTCCATGAATATTGAATGTCTAAGTATCTTATTAAAATGCAAATATCCTGAGAGGGATGACAAATAAGCTGCCAACCCCTATTAACAATTTGATAGGCTGGGGACTTGTTTATTGAAACTCTTTTCATTGTGGTCAGTCTCTGTGCAATAGGCTTATAGGGCTAATTACTGTGGAAAGTAGACCTAGAGTGGAGGCTTACCTAGGAAGGCTGTATCTAGCACATTAGTTCAGTTTTAAGATATCCATACACACCATCTATATTTGTCTCCTAGGCTGCCATAACAAATGACCACAAACTATGTGGCTTAGAATAACAGAAATTTATTGTCTCACAGTTCTGGAGGCCAGAAGTCTGAAATCAAGGTGTCAGCAGGGCCATGGTCTCATCAAAGGCTCTAGGGAAGAATCCTTCCTTCCTTCCTCCTACCTTCTGGTTATTAGGAACCCTTGGGGTTCCTCGCCCTGTAGATGCAGTTCTCCAATTTCTACTCTTCACATGGCATTCCACCTTCTGTGTCTGTGTGTCCCTGTATCTCTCTTTTTTCTTCTTACAAGGACACTAGTCATTGGATTGGGGCACACCCTAATTTAGTATGACATCATTTTAATTTAACTAATTACATGCAAATATCCTATTTCCAAATAAGATTGCATTCTGAGGTTCTGGTTGGACATGAATTTCTGGGGAACACTGTTCAACCCAGCATACCATTTATTGTGGCTAGATGATGGTTAGATACTCAGCTAACCTCTAGGAAAAATCTGGCTGTGGGGACCAGGAATCATCATATGATATGAGACATTGACGTTGACAGGTATGTGTGTATGTCCACCAGGTAGCATAAAGGCCCTTTTCACTTACTGAATGTGAGAGGTAACCTACGAGCACCACACAGTAGGAAAAAAAGAGCGACAAAAACATTAATTTACTCTAAAAAAATACACTGTGAGTGCATATTATGGGCCAGGCTTTGGGTGAAGGACTGAAAGAAGTGGTAAATGAAAGAGATATTACTCATGTCCCCAGTGAACATACAATCTAGCAGAAAAAGATATGCAATAAAGAGGTATAGAATAAATATCCACTTGAAATTTTAAAACTGAGCAAGTGTTATGAGATTTACAGAGTGGTCTGTGAATGAGAACAACTGAGAGGAACCTACTGAGATATGGTGGTCAGGTAGAAATATTGACTCTGTAACTTGAAGGATGAGTCAGGATCAGGTGTTTCACTTCCTTCATCTGTCTGTCGGGGCTGCTGCTGAACAGAGACCTCAAAATTCAGCAATTAGAAGAGGGTCTTCATATCCTATCCCCCATCTTAACTGTTTAGTTATACTCTAGATAGAAACTCTGACATTTTTCTCCTCACTTTTGCCCACCCTTTCCCCAACCCCCACAGACACAAATGCATATTTCCTACTTTTTCCTGAATCATTTGAGGGTTACAGATATTTAACTCTTTAGCCCTACAGTTTCAGCATGCCTAAGAAAAAAGATATTTTTCCTACTTTTTCCTGAATCATTTGAGGGTTACAGATATTTAACTCTTTAGCCCTACAGTTTCAGCATGCCTAAGAAAAAAGATATTTTTCTACATAACTATAGTACAATTATTATACTTGGACAATTTAACATTAATACATTATTATTATCTAACTACAATCCATAATTTAAATTCTCTGAATTGTCTCAATAGTATACTTTATAGATATATTTTTTCTGATCCAGAATCCAATCAAGAATCAAGCATTATATTTAGTTGACCTGCCTTCTTAGTCTCTCTTAATCTACAACAGTTTCCCAAACATTTTTGTCTTTTATGACATTGACATTTTGAAAGAATCCAAGTCATTGCTTTGTAGAATGTCTAGTAGAGACTCAAACATATACTGGATGTGTAGTATAGTTTTTGATATTTTGTCAAAATGCTTACTTGTAGATTTGCAATTAACTGAAATTGCTAACAACCTATAAGGATGCAGTTCAAATCATCCCAAATCAGTTCCATGGGGGTGTGAATGATATTTTGTCAAAGGGGGACTTGGAATTGCATTATGAAAAAGTAAAAACAAGTTTCTTTGCTGCAGGACTTCTCAAGAGCCTTTATATACTAACAGATATTATAAATCTTTAAGAGGATTATAGAATACAGGGTTTCCCAAACTTTGTTTGAGGACCATATCAGCTATGTATTGCTGAAAAATTACCCACAATTTATGGGCTTCAAACAACAAACATCACCTCATACAGTTTCTGGGAATCAGGAATCTAGAAGTCGCTTAACTGGGTGGTTCTGGTTCAGAGTCTCTCTTAGATTGTAATCAAGATGTTATGTGGGGCTTCAGTCATCTGAAAGCTTGACCAGAGCTGAAAGATCTGCTTCCAAGATGGCTCTGTCATGCGGCTGTTAGTAGGAGGCCTCAGCTCCTCACCATGTGGCCCTCACCATAGGGCTGCTTGAATATTCTCATGACATGGTAGCTGCTTTCCCTCAGAATGAATGATATAAACGACATCAAGGAGAAGGCTGTAATGCCTTTTATGACCTTGTATCAGATGTCACATATGATCACATCTACTAATGAGTCACTAAATCCACCCTACGCTCAAGAGGAGAACTAGGTTTCTCTGCCTTTCCCTTTTGTAGGCTGTAACTTTTGAATAGAGTAATGTCAAATAATTTGTGGACATATTTTAAAACCACTATAAAGACCATGTTGAGGGTATAGAATTCTTCATAACACACTTTAGAAAATATTAGTTAAAATGTTAAAAGCGTTCAGGGTTGACCAGATGTGGTGGCTCACGCCTTTAATCCTAGCACTTTGGGACGCCAAGGCGGGCAGATCACCTGAGGTTAGGAGTTCCAGACCAGCCTGGCCAACATGGCAAAACCCTGTCTCTACCAAAAATACAAAAAATTAGCCGGGTATGATGAGGCGTGCCTGTAGTGCCAGCTACTCGGGAGGCTGAGGCAGGAGAATCACTTGAACCCAAGAGGCGAAGGTTGCAATGAGTTGAGATAGTACCACTGAACTCTAGCCTGGATGTCAGAGTGAGACTCCATCTCAAAAAAAAAAAAAAAAAAAAAATTAAAATGTTGAAATCTAGGGTGAGAAATTAGAAGTAGGTGTGTCTGAAATCAGACTCATTTATTAGTTGCACTAACTTGGGCTTTCTTTTAACTTTGTGAGCCTGAATTTTTATATAAGTAAAATGAAGGTGATAATATTATTTATCTTTGAAATATCTTAGGGTTGTTGTGAAGATAAACCAATGTACATAAAAACTCTTTAACAATTATAACGTACTACACAGATGTTCACACTTACTAAAATTGTTGGCCAACATATGACCTGTCAAAATAACTGAAAACTAGATGTTTGACTTTTCATATTTAAAAAGCTCCTCTTCCTATCTTCCAGAAGAATGTCATATGCATAGATATGCTTAAAAATACTTTTGATGAACCTTATATCAACCCTTTAGGAATTTTAACCTGACATTTGTCATCTTCTGCAATTGCTTCTTTGCTAGATGCATAGAACTTTGTCTTTGCAGGGTACTGAGTTACCTTGTAAATGAGTAGTAGTAGTTTTTTTTTTTTTAAAGAACTTTATGTACTTCCATAATTTCCCTAATAAGGAGGCTATTTTTCTCCTGTGTCTCATAAGTTGACTCCAAGGCAGTGCCTAAAGAGAAGTTCAGGAAATGTTATAAGCAGTGGAATCCTCATCAGAATAAATATAGAGTTTCCCATGGTGACCACATGGCAGGACAAAGCAGGTTTGGATACATGAGTCTTGATGGGATATGCTTGTCCAAGATTAGTCTCCTTACTTTAAAGCTGTATCTCATTATAAAATGAACCACACAGACTAGACATAAAGAAAATGTTACTGCCAGCCAACTGCAATTTTTAAATCCAAAGAGCTTAGAATATTTATAGGCATAATCTTGTTAATCTTCATAATACTATGAGGTAAGTCAAAGTATCATTACTCTTAGAGGAAAGTGTGACAAAACTTGGATTTATTCTGAGTCCTTCTCTGTGTTTTTCGAAGACCTAACTCTGTGTAACTATTGTTTAAATATTGAATACGGTTCAGTTCTAGTACATAGAAAAAGAACGTATGTATTATGGCTGAATTAGGACAAGGGTTTTCAGCCTATAAAGATCTATTGGTCAATACATTAATTAGGACAACAAGTTTATACCCTGTGTCAATGTAGTTGTTTATTGCTTAACTTAACCCTCCTTAATTTATTATAGTCATTAGTGTCTGTTAGCAAGAAACAATGTGTTTGAATTTTACAAGAGTATGTGGTTAGCAGCTTTCTGTCTCTGAGCTGGGACGTGCCTCACTTGATCTTCTCACCTTACACTTAACTCAGGACTGAGCCTTCCTTAAGAAATGATTATTCTTCCCAGTAGAACTGTAAATAGTCATAGCTCCTATTTTGCATCTCAGCTCACAAAGCTATAAAATGAGAGGATGAGATTAAGTGATCTCCAAATAATCTTGTACATCTAAAATTCTGAGTTAATGATTATCTATGTTGATACAGAATTAAGGCAACAATGATAGAAAAAAACACTCCAAATTAAAGTATTCGAGACAGTTAGAGTTATTTGTATGTTTTCATAACTATGTAAAATCAGTTTGAAGGTTAATACCTTCATCCTAATTAGTTAGTGTACAGGACTGCTGCCACAAAAATTTGGTTTAGGTTTACAGAGCATGACTTTTCTAGGAAAGTGAAAGTCGCCTGGCTTTTGGAGAGGGAGCAGGGAAGAGGCTTTTGCTATACCGTTTAGCAACAGATGTTTGGGCAGCAGGACATAGCCAGGAATCCAGGAATTTAGACATCATTGAGGAAACGGACTATTAAAGAAGAATTGCTAAACCTGTAGAGGCAGATCTAAGTTTTACAGGGCCTGAAGCTTATTCAATTATAAAGAGCCCTCTTAAAAAAAGAATACAAAATTAGGTATGAAAATGTATGCTTATTCAGAAATGAATTCTGTTAGAAGTGAATATTTACTTTGAATGCTCACAGCTTCTCCAACAGCATCCAATACAGGGACTTCTCCAACAGCATCCAATACAGGGAAAGTGCCATGGGGGAGATTTGGAAAGAGACTAGTCTTAACTAATCACATTTGAAATATCTTACTCTTGTAAATTTTACAAAAATCTATGGCCATGTGAATGTGTTGCTAACCCCCAATCAGGATCCCTGGACAGGGCCTGTGAGAGTGACGGACCCAGAGCCTGAACATCATTAGTTTCACATCACATCCACTGTTATCTACATGTCTAGAATATTCCATAGACAGTTCAGTTGGAAGTTCATTTAACTTAAAACAGTGAAGTCATTAAAGAAAGAGGTAGATCTGTATAAACAATCATAAAAGTTGTAGAATATATTGTTAAATGAAAAAACAAGGCATGGGATAATATGTATAGCATAATCCCATGTATGTAGAAAAATTAAATATAGGCATCAAATGTGTGTGTGTTTGTGTTTGTGTGTGTATGTGTGTGTAATATATATTTGACACATATCAAATTCTTTCTTTTTTTTTTTTTTTGAGACGGAGTCTTGCTCTGTCGCCAGGCTGGAGTGCAATGGCGCAATCTCGGCTCACTGCAACCTCCGCCTCCCAGGTTCAAGTGATTCTCCTGCCTCAGCCTCCTGAGTAGCTGGGGCTACAGGCACGCGCCACCACGCCTGGCTAATTTTTTTGTATTTTTGGTAGAGATGTGTCACCATGTTGGCCAGGATGGTCTCCATCTTTTGACCTCATGATCTGCTCACCTCGGCCTTCCAAAGTTCTGGGATTACAGGCATGAGCCACCATGCCCGGCCATGTATCAAATCTTTAACAGTGATTATATTAATATTTGGAGGTTGTATGAGGTAATGGGTTATTTGAATTTTTGCACAACAAAAACTATTCATGTGTTACATGTAGGCCTCCTATTAATAACTGCACATGCCTCCATAATTTCAGGCATCCCACTCTCATACCATCATTAGCCATCTTTCCAATTCAATTCCCCTACAGCTTAACTCTATTTTTGACTCACGAGGATCCACAATCAAACCTCCTATCATTTCAATATCCCTACTCTCTTCATATGCCCACTTCCATCGTTACCCAGCTTAATTTCCATGGCCCATTATTATAGTCATTGTGCATACATCTTACTGCCCAGCTACCTCTTGCTTTGTCATACTTACTTGGCAAAACTCCATCCCCGCTTGACTCCAACTCTCCTCCTACTCTGCCCCTGCAACTAAGCAGCTGAATGTGGCTGGAGGAAAAACACACAACTCATGCTGACTGGTCTCATTTGAAATTCCTCACCTCACCTCAGGGGGCTTTCGTTGCTGCCCTGGAATCCTTCTCCATTTTTCCCAGTCCATTCGAGTGAATGGACTGCCACACTCCTCGGTGGCTGTTTCACACTTTTTCCTCCCTCCTCAAACATCCATGCCTCCTCCACCATCCTCACTCTCAGCTTTTGACTGTGCTTACATTTCATTGAGAAAATAGAAACAATCAAGAGAAAAAAACACCAAAAAAACCTTGCACCCATTCCCATCACTGTATCTACCCACCTACCTGTGCCCTGCACTCTGCTCTCTGTCCTGTTCTGTGGATGAGCAACCAGGGCTTGCATCTCAGGCCAACCCTCCACTTGTCCACCAACCCCATTCTCTTCTTACCAACCTAACAACTTTGAGGGCAGATGAATCCACAGGCTGGTAGGTACAGTGTCTGGGGTTCATGATACTTTTAGAGGCGCCTTTAAAATCATAAGAAAAGTAAGAACTTCTAGGTCAAGGAAAATGCTTTAATATATGTTAATTTATTCACTTTTATATAATGTGTAATATTTTAAATATGGGCCCATGATGGCAAAAGTGCCTAGGGCTCATGGAAGTCATAACATAGCCCTGACTACACTGTCTTTTCTTCTCATTCAGCATCAGTTTACCCCTTTCTTTTAGGGTATCCCCCAGTTGGCAAGCATACTGCAATTTTCCCATCTCCCTAAACCCTATCTTGATTAGCCTGTTTCCAACCACTCACCATTAATTTTCTGCCTCTTTCTGTTGTTGTTGTTTAAACAGCAAAACTTCTTAAGAGATGCATCTGTATTTACTGTCACCAATTCCTCTCCTCCTATTTTCCTTTGACCTCAAGTCCTCATGCCTGCCGCAGCACTAAAGCCATTTTCTGACAGGGTCCCAGTGACCTCCATAACACTAAATGCAGCCACCATTTCTCAGTCCTCCTCTTACTTGTCTTAGGAGCAGCATTTAAATACTTGATTATTCCTTCTACTTACACCACTTTTTTCACTTGGCTTTTATGTAGGAAGGCCAGGTAATTTATCATCAGAATAAAGACACTTTCGAGAGTGAAAGATGGGTGGTACTCTTACTACGTACAGCTGAGACACAGGCCTCAACTTGGACCATCTCAGGCAACTGGACCTTACAGTCACCGTTCTCCTAGGACACCACACAACTGGCATTTCCCGCATGTCACTGGCTGTTTCTGCTCAGTCTCCTCTCTGTCCTCCTCCCCCAGCCTCTAAATATTGGACTTCCCAGGGCTCAGTCCTTGAAGGACTTCTTGTTCTGTATTCCTTCGGGGCTAATTTTCACCTGCTGTGTCCTGGTGTGCTATGCTATTGATAAAACGTGGAAATGCTGCCCTTTGGGCCAGTTGAGAGCTGCTCCTCACCCTCTCCTCTGCCCTCTCCAGCCACTCTGGCCTCACTCTGGGACCCTCAGACCTTCCAAGGATCTAATTTCTAAAAGGTTGACACCTGACCCTTTAGAACTGTGCTCCAGTACTTTGATTGGTTAGTACCATTACTATATTGGTTGTTAATTATTTTGAATAGCACCTTTGTACTCCTTTACAGGGCTTTAAATGAACTCTTAATGGATATTTCCAGCTGGGACCTTTCTTCTGAATTCCAGACTTAACTATCCAATTGTCTATCCAGCATCTCCGTTTGAACACATAGGGGTATTTTGAACTTAAAATGCCCTGATTTTCCCCGCAAACCTGCTCCTCATACAGGCTTCCCTAAAACTCACGTAATGGTAACTCTATCCTTTCAGTTGCTCAGGCTCCATTTCTTATGGTTTTCTGATGGTTTGTTTTTTAAACTCCTCCCTTTCTTTCATACCCCTTATCAAAGTTATCAGGAAATACTGCCAGCTCTACCTTCAAAATACCTGTGCTACTCCTCACTACCTCCACTGCTGCCATTATCCACCGTCACCCCTCCCTTGACCACAGCAGCAGCTCCTGTCTCCCAGCATCCACCTTTGTCCCTTTCTAGTTATTTTCAACACAGCAGACAGAGTGACCCTGATAAAACAGAAGACAGCTCATGTCATATCTCTGCTCAGAACCCTTCCATCTCACCCAGAACCAAGGCCAAGCCCTTACAACAGCATCAAGGCGCAGTGCATCTGGTCCATGCCATTCACCCATGACCTCTGACCCCATCTCCTTCTCCTCTCCCCAGCCCTCTCTCAGCCACACTGGTCTCCCTGCTCTTCTGTGTGTGGCAGGCACACTCCTGCTTCACAGGCTGGACACTTGCAATCTCTCCCTGTCTGCCCTGCTCCCGCTCCATGCTGCACACAGCTGGCTCTGCTTCAGTTCATTAATTAAAGGTCACTCACCCTCTCAGTGAAGCCATTTTTAACAAATTATAGCCCCCGCCCCATTGCCCTTCCTGCTTAATTTTTGTCCACAGCACTTATAACCACCTCATGCACTGTAGATTCTACTTCTGTGGTCTTTGTCAGTTTTGTTTTGCTGTAACTGCAGGGCCTAGAACAGTGCCTGGTATGTAGTGGTTGCTCAGGAATTGTTAAATGAATTCGTTAGGAAAAATTGTCAAATATCATTTACTAATCTGTAATTGCTCAAAAAAGTTTTACTATTATTCAATTTTACTAATTATGCATCAATATGCTGTAGAAAAAGTCCCCCCAAACACAGCAAGAGGTTAGTCACAGCCCTGTTTTAGAGCTTTTGCAGAGTTAGTAAAATAGAAATTTTGTGTACTCTTTGGAAGCTTATGTGCTAAAAGACATACTGTGCAGATTTACACACTCAGGGTCAGGAGAGAAGGCTGAAGCCCAAGCACTGAGGCCAGGAACACCGTGTTCCAAGCCAGTCCATAATCAGGTTAATCTACTCCAGCCTCCAGCCTCTAGTCACACTGCTGACTTCAAGATAACACGGTGGCTATGGAACTCTTGCTGGCAAAGCCATCTCTCTCAAATAGCATTGAGGACTGAACTGAGGAAAGGCAAGAAATCAGGCCTTCTAGTCTGCAAGGAAGATTAGAAATAGAAGAAAGTTATAAAAGAACTGCAGCCGTGGAGGTGCCCTGAGGGTTTGCCTACTCATCCTTCTTTTCTTATGATACCTAACCTGACTTTCCTTGTGAAACCCCTTCTTTTGTAATCTGTAACAATCTTGTGTAAACATATACCTATCTCTTATTCTGTCCACTTAAGAACAATTTAATTTACCAAGTTAATCAGGAAACTACAATCATAAAACTGAAGAGTCATTAATAATTCTAGTGGGTGTTTTCTAGTGTTTTTGAACATTAGCCTCCAAGGAATCGCTTTAACATATCCACACATACAGATACCTATAGTAGAAACCCCTGGACACCTTCGCAACCCTGTAACTGAATATTACTCACTTCTCAGCCTTTCTAGGAAAACCTCCAGCGAACATCACTTATTTGCAAAGAGATCGGAATTACCAGTTATTTACTCTACACTCCCCACTACAGAGATATCCAAAATCATGTCAAACCTGTTCTTCTTTGTTTTTTGTTTTTTTTGAGATGGAGTCTCACTCTGTTGCCCAGGCTGGAGCGCAGTGGTACAATCTTGGCACACCGCAACCTCTGCCTCCCAGTTTCAAGTGATTCTCCTGCCTCAGCATCCCAAGTACCTGAGATTACAGGCGCCAGCCACTATGCTCAGCTAATTTTTGTATTTTTAGTAGAGATGGGATTTCATCATATTGGCCAGGCTGGACTTGAACTCCTGAGTTGAAAGCCATCTGCTGGCACTGACCTCCCAAAGTGCTGAGATTATAGGCAGGAACCACTGTGCCCAGCCCAAACCTGGTTTCTTTACCTGTCAGAAAGGAGCTTAGGGCTGGGTGCAGTGGCTCATGCCTGTAATCGCAGCACTTTGAGAGGCTGAGGCGGGTGGATCACGAGGTCAGGAGTTCGAGACCAGCCTGGCCAATATGGTGAAACCCTGTCTGTACTAAAAAATAAATAAATAAATAAAATTAGCCAGGCATGGTGGCGCATGCCTGTAGTCCCAGCTGCTCGGGAGGCTGAGGCAGGAGAAATGCTTGAACCCGGGAGGCGGAAGTTGCAGTGAGCCAAGATTGTGCCACTGCACTTGACAAAGTGAGACTTCGTCTCAAAAAAAAAAAAAAAAAGAAAGGAGCTTAGTTTAGTAACTCACTCAAGATGATTGTAACATCATAGAATTTTAAAAGAATCAAATAACTTAATTTTACACACAATTTGTATGTAATTTATTTTGGCAAGTGATGCTCAAATTTTCCCTTTCCTTACCCAAAATAAATTTAAAAAAAAAAACCGTAGGTTGTTTTTTGTATTTTCATTTTGCAATAATTTTCCTGTTTACTGCAGTAGTTAGGAGGTAAGATGAAAACGGGGACATGTTAATGCAATTATTATGAAAAGTATGTCCATTTTAATCACAAATCACCAAACTTACAGGGAAAAGTAGAGGTGGGAAATGAAACAGAAAACTTAACTGGAAGAAATGGGTGTTGTTTTGAGTTAGGATGAGTTAGTTAATTCTTATACAGCTATTTTTATTAATACATTTTCCTCTCATTTCCAGTTTGAACAGCACCAGTAGTTTAAAATTATGAATTTGTAGCATCTTTTTGCTTAGGGAAAACTGGTTTCAAAATCAAATGTGAAGGTCTAGCAATAGGACACTTTTTTGTTTCTCAGTTTTCTCCTCTGCCTTTCATATAAACTCATAAATGTTTGAATAAATGGCTATAGAATTAATAATTTTTAAATTGTGTATATATAAGTGTACATCATATTTTTATATGCATACTACTTTACTGTAGTCAAAGACATTAACATATGCATTATTTCGCATAGTTACTTTTTTAAGAATACCTAAAAATCTTGTTAGCAAAGTTCTGTATACAATACATTGTCATTAACTATAGTCCTCATGCTGAACATCAGATCTCTAGACTTATTGAACCAACATAATTGCAACTTTGTAGCCTTCGATTACCATCTTCCCATTTCCCCCTTATAAATATTTTATTAGCTATCATTATAGATACTAATAATGAATCCTATAAAATAAATTAGTAAAAATAATACAAACTCATAGTAAAATAAATTCTGTAAAAGGACAGGAGAAGTCAATGATACTTTTTGTCATTGCATTGGTGCTTTCCTCACCAGTTTAGGAATCAGAGTAGAAATTGTTTGGCAGCTCTAGCAGTATCAGAACTCATTTTCCTGATCAAATACAAAGCAAAACAAAATGGACTAATATTTGAGAAAGTGGTTTCTTGTTATCTAATTCAGAGAATTCTATTCTGTGAGTGATTCCAAGAATCAATTTGGATATTCCTTTTATTAAATTTCAAGGAATATTTCTCTTAATTGAAAATTGTGTGACCTACATCAGAAACACATTTGCACTGCTGTGCATTTCACAGTGCAGTTTCTCATCCATTACCTCATTTGATTCTCACAGTATCCCCCTGTTGGTAGACAGGGCAGTAGAGATATACCTGTTTCACAAAGGATTTAGCCACAAAAGGACAGAAGTGATGCAAGGTCATAGAGCTGGCAAACTGAAGAGTCAGGATTTGAATCCAAATCATCTGGCTCCAAATATTTCCAATATATTGTGTTACCTCTCCTCATTTAAGTTAATACAATTATAATGGTGATAACTACTGAGGTAATTCAAGCAATTTATCTAGGGGTCTAAATTACTCAAATAATCGACTGGATATTTTTGGTTGCTTTGCAAATTGAGACACAACCCGAGTGTCAATGAGGATTAAAAGAAAAATAAATAAATAAAACTGCGTTTCCAAAAAATGATATGTTTATATCCCTTATTTCTCAAATCTGTACTCTAAGAAATGCTTTTTGAGCCAAAAGTTCCGAAAGTGTTTTTGTTGGAGAATATAATCTCTTCTCTGAACTACAGACTTCATTAATTCTCCATAGCTTGCTATATTTCCCATTGCTTTCCTTAGAATGAAAGAATCTAGAGTTCTAGATTCTCCTCCCTGGTGATATACAAAGTCTACTTTAATGATATTAAAAAGTATATTAAACTATACCTATTATCTCACAAGCATTCTTTCTAATTACCTTGTGGTGAGCATATAAACATTACTAATATATCTAAATAAACAGACATATAAGATAGTCATGGTATTATTATATTAAATGCGAAATAAACCCTTCTAGAGATGCAGATTCCTTATCATATGAGATCAGTTTGTTAATTTGAGACCATTTGTCAAGGAAGTGGTCCATGGGTATACCTATTTGTGCTCCAGAGGTTCTGTAAATATTTATCAATTACCTTTTGAATTTTGCATAAATATACACAATGTGCTTTATTCACTAAAGAGTTGACCTGACATGGAAAATTTATTCAAGCAAAATCTTTAAGTGGCTAGTCTTGGGACACCCTCATGGTCCCGGATGGTACAGAAAACATTTGCCCACTCATAAGCTTCTAGCAGTATGAAATTGTGCAATAAGTACAAGTGGGGAGGTTGGATAAAACAGGACTCCTCTACATGTCTGGGAGGCCATTCCTTGGCTCAGAGTCTGACACATAATGGATGCTGAAAAAATATTTGTTGAATAAATGAATGAATGATCCAGTAGCTGTTTTGAAGGCCTTATCTACTCTATTGCTCCATTAATTGTCTCTAACCCTCAACAACTTGTACTGTCACCAATGGGGAAGAATGTAGGGACCTCCTTCCCTAATAAATGTAAACAGCATACATACAATTATAATTTAGCTAAAAGCATTAATACAAATGGAAAGAGCAAATACAGGGGTTGATTGACAAAGTGACTAAAGCTGATACGAGCTCACCAAAAGGAGAGACAGAAGGTTGAACTGTGATAAGCTAGAACTGGAAGGTCCTGGATCCATGGATATTTAAACTATTTGCTCAGTTCAGTTTAGAACAATTCAACAGATTCTATGTGTTGGGAACTGGGACATAGTGTTAGGTCCCCGGATTACAAGGTGTCTGAAAGTCAGGAAACAGTGTGTACTTATATTTAAACATTATTTTAGTTACATTTTCAAATCTGCTTAGTATGTTTTTCCTCATTCTCCAGAAAAGTTTCCAGAAGTTTAAATACCTCTAAATTTAAAGTAATGGGGTAATGTGAAAAAGTATAATAAATACACTATGTTTTCCTCTGTTTTCAGATTTTTTTGACATTCCGTAGTATATGACAAATGGACATATTGCTTTAAACATACTGAAGGTATTATTTGAAAATGTAACATTCTATTTAAAGTAAGTTTAGCCTCTTTCCTAAGTTTTCAGATACACTAAACAAAGTTTACATAGACAGATTCCTCAGGAGCTCTAGTGAGAAGAGAAGGATATGGAAAAACTCCTTATACAGATTAAGGATATGGAAACAACTCATTATACAGATTAAGAGCCATAAAAGAGACTATGTAAGGAACAGAAGAGGTCTGCTGCACAAGCACGAGGTTATTGCTCTGTGGGAGGTAGCAGAGGGTCAGGAAAATTCACATGTGTGGTGCTGTCTGAGCAGAGTTTTGGGAAATGAATGGCATTTTCCAAGAGACAGGTGTGGAAGGAAGGCCAGGCAGAGGATGGGAATAATGCAAGAACACAAAGCAGGGGACAGCACTATATGTGCAGAGGACTACAGCGTGTTTAGTATTGCTTAAAGTTTGATGAGAGGCAGAATTGTGGGTGATGAAAAGTAGTAATATCATGTAATATTTTATCTGCCTTCTTCATAAGTCTAATTTTAATTTTATCCTGTAGAATGGATGGGAGATCAGCAAATGATTTTAGGTAAAGGAAATAATTTGCTCAGAGTTGTTGAGAAAAGGCAGTAGTCTGCATGGTTCTCTCTTTCTTTCTTTCTTTTGAGAGAGGGTCTCTCTGTTGCCCAGGCTGGTACACAGTGGTGCACTATGGCTCACTGCAGCCTTGACCTCCTGGGCTCAAGCAACACTCCCATCTCAGCCTCCTGAATAGCTGCACTACAGGTGCACACCACCACACCTAGGCCGGAGTGCAGTGGCATGACCATGGCTCACTGCAGCCATGAATTTATGGGTTCAAATGATCCTCCCACCTCAGCCTCCTGAGTAGCTAGGACTACAGGATGCACCACCATGCCCATTTTTTTTTCTTTTTGCAGAGATAGGGTGGGGGTGGGGCTGGGGGTTGCGGGGGGGGGAGTGATGGATTGTCTGTGTTGCTCAGGCTGGTCTTGAACTTCTACTATCCTCCTGCCTTGGCCTCCCAAAGTGCTGGGATTACAAGCATGAGCCACCATGCCTGGCCCCCATTTTCCTTTATAATATTAGCGTTCTTACCAGGTAACATGAGCAGAAATGAAATAATCGAGTTTCACACGGTTTCTCTCTCCCTCTGGGAGAGAAACTAGATTAACAGTCAAAAATCCAGAAGGCAAGCAATTTGAAGGGGAAACTAAGGATAATCAAGATTTGACTGTACACTTTTTGTAACTGTTGAATTATTTACCTTCTTTGACTCCTCCTGGACTGAGCCAATGTAGTCTGGATAGTAGAAAGGACCTTAGCCAAGAAACCAGGAACAGCCTCTCTGAATCTCTTTCTGCAATTGTGTGTTTCCAGAAAAATTGCTTCTTTGAGTTTGTTTTCTGATCAGGAAAATGAGGAAGTTTGATTACATCAAGGCTTCTCAAGTTCTAATTCTATCACATTCACCTAAGGTGGTTCCAAAATATACAGATTCCCAGATCTGACTGAAGGACACATTGTAGAGGTTGGGCTGAGGTCTCTGTATCAGACTGGGCGTAAAGTGTAATGTCCTGTCCTGCCACTTATTAACTGGGTGACCTAGAGTAAGTTACTTCATGACTCGTATATTTCTCATAGGTAAAGCAGGGATGATAATATCTCTACTTCATATGTCCCCGGGAGGGTAAAATGATAGAATCCTTTTTAAGTAGCAAGTATATTGCCTGTCACATATTAATCATTCAACAGATGTTATATATTATTTGTATAGCCCACAGTATTCACTGTGTGTGTGTGTGTGTGTGTGCGCGCGCGCGTTTGGTGCAAGGTAGACGATCCATAAGTATCTGCTGCGTAAATAAAAGTTGTTTTTTTTTTTTTAGCAACTTCTTTTGTTCTCAGATCTGAAATGATTAGCCCAGGAATTACTTCCCTAAAAAGGTAAAGCTAGTTTGAGAGAACTGCTTAAATGTGGCGCTCAATCTTTGCTATCTTAGACTGAGAGCCTCATGATAATTAAAAAATAATTTAAAGATGAAAGTCCTACTAGAGTGGGCGAGCTGATTACGAAAAGGAATGAGCCTCAGAGACTGTTAGCCGGATCCAGCCGGCCACTGCGTAATCCACTCCAGTGACTCTCACCTAGGTGCGCATCTCCATTTTATCTCACAAGATGCCGTGAAATTCTCAAAGTCATTGTAACTACAATTGATTTTGAATCACAAAAAAAGCAATATTCCATTTTCCGTGTTGTTGACCAAGCAGAAAACAGAACGTAACTTTTAAAACGCTTGAAAATCAGGGCTATCAAAAATAGAGAACTTCTATTCGCCATGAACTCGCTGATGCAAACAATCAACGCACACTGAACCGTGTGTTTTTCTGGGTGGTGGTGGTCCCTCGCCAAATAGTCAGCGTTTGGTTCTCCGCGTCTGTAGCGAGAGGAGTTACAGTTTGGTACCGGCAGGGAGGAAATCGCCTCGCAATCTCTGGAGGTGGCCTCCTAGAAAGATCGCCGGGAGGGGAGGAGCCCCGATTGTCCTGGAAGAAAAGCATGGCCCCATCCGGGAAGTCACAGCTTGCCGGGAGCCCAGGGCTGGCGGCTCTGGGTCCTGGAGGTGGCAGACGGCGGAGCAGCCGGCCTCGTAGCCCGGGCCTGCGCGCCTGGCAAGGGGCTCAGTGTGTGCGAGTGAAAGACGCACACCGGGCGGACCTGCGTGGGCTTCGGCCTCGCCCCGCCGCGCGCGGGGTTGCGGCTGAACCTGACCAGGGCTCATCCCTGCCCGGCGAGGGTAAGGGCGGCCCGGGATCCGCTGCTGCTCGGATGGGAGCCGCTCGGGGCCGGGATCCCTGGGCCTTGCGGGGGCGCGGCAGCCCCTCCCCCCGGAGCCCGCGCTTCCGCCCGAGCCCCGGCGGCGGCGGCGGTGACCGTGGCCCCGCCGCGCCTTCCGCCTGGGAGCTGCCGCCGCCCGCCCGCGCCCTTGTGCACCGCGCCCACAGGCCGCGGGAACCCAGAGCGCCCGGGCCCAGGGGCCTCTGCCGCGCGACTGAGACGCACTCCGAGCTGGACGTGTGGAAGGTTCGGCCAGCTCGGCGTTTCGCCCCCGCTGGGGATGGGCCACTGGGCACCTGCAGCCACCCAAGAGCGGGGAGTTGGCCGGGCCCTGGCCAGGGGCCGCCGCCACAGCGTACTGGCAGGGAGAACAGAGCTAGCTAAGCCTCCTTCCTCTCCCAGATTCCCAGGGAAACTGGACAGCCCGACGCCCAGAGCGGACGGGCGAGAGCCCCTGAGGTGCCAAGTGGACCCCGGTTCTGCTGCTGCCACTGGCCGATTGGGGACGCCGGCACTTGCGCTGTGGGCGTGTGGTGGGGCATTTCCGTTATCCTCTCGAAGACACCCCGCCACTATTCCTGCTCAAACAAGCACAGTCTGGTGTGCAAGCCGACCGTACCTCCTCCCCTCCCTCCTTTCTTGCACGCACCTTCGTTCGTCTATCTATTCTTACCTTCTTCCCCAGAGCGCCAAGACAAATGTGGACAAGAGTGAAGAAGTTAGGATACTGCCAAGTGTGTGTGTATTGGGGTGGGGGGGTAGTAATAAGCGGGGAGAAAGTGATGAAAATAAAATTAGAAATCCCAGAGTATGTAGCAACACACACACACACACACACACGCACACACACACGTTCCCAGCCTGTTAGCAATCTTGGCTATGTCCAAGTGGAAGCAAATTTTAATGCTCGGTCTCAGAAGAAAATTTCACATATACAGGCTTCAGAGGTAACGGGGTAACCGATAGCTTCCTTTTACTTCTCGGCATTTATTTTTGCTTTTCTGAAGCATAGTCCTATGTTTATTAAAGGGACCACAGGAGTACACGCTGTTTGAAAGCCATTCCTGGACACCACTGAGGCCGGCTTCCCAGGGAGCCTTTGTCGCCTCTGCAGCAGAGGTCACTGGACTCTCCTCAAGGTGTAATGTGAGGGAACAGGTGCCTCGGGGGCTTGGGAAAACACCACGCTGTGCTCTGATGTGTGTCCCCATCCCGGGAGAAGGCAAGTGCTTTGCATAAGGACCAGATGGGTTGCTGAATAGGGAGGTGGAAAACAAATAGACCCTTGGGTGTATCTTGAACCCCTTCAACACCCCCCCTTCCCCACTCCCCGCCTTCACCGAAGCAGTGTCAGAGTCCTCTTCGATCCAGCATGCTCTCCTACAATGGCGAAAAACTGCATTAAAACGAGGCAGTCGGAGCTGACTGCGGAAACCCATGTTCTTAGAGAGTCGTCTGGCTACTGCGTAGTCCTGGAATATTCTTTTTTTCAAAAGGCCTCTTCCAGTTGATTCCAACCGGGTTCGGGTTATTGTTCTCACCACCGATAGGGGGCAGCAGGTGTCCTGCGATGCCCCGGGGATGTGCGCGCAGACTGCCCTGCTGTCCCCGGGAATCCGACTACACTGAACGTTTGGGGCAGAAGCAGGAGCTGCTGCCTCTAAGTCCACCGCAGCAGCTGCCGGGACTTGGGCCTCCCAGCCTGGGCGCCTGGGGGGGGCTTGCCCTGTGCAAAGGGTGGGCGAAACCATCTGTGCACCAAGCCTGCCCCTAAACTTAGCGTACAGCATAGATAAATAAACTCAGTTGTATGCAAATGCTATAATTAAAATATACAGTCATTTGAAAGTACTGTAGGCTCTATTGGAGTTTTTAATTGTTTTTGAGTTTTCTCAATCAGTAGAGAATTTAAAAATACGGCTATCACAGTCTGTTTGGAGGGTGGTGGTCTGTTACGTTGAATTTTAAAAGGGCGTCTGTCCCTAGAAGTTGGGAACTACTGATCCACAGAATCGTTTGATAACCGTGGTAAAGATTCCGAGGCATCTCGGAAGGGAAACTGGGAGGACTGAGCTAGTCCTAGCAGGGTGTGTGTCCGCCCGCGCCGCGAGGCGTGGGCAACACAGCCCCATCCCGGGAGCGCGGAGCTATGGCAGCTGGGATTGGTTCAGATCGAGAGTCCTGAGGGGCTGGGATTTCCTGAAAACCTACTTCACTTGGTAAGCCAGAGCGCTTGAGTTTTCGGAATTCCCGAGGAAAGGTTCTATATATTCTCCAAATCCACATTTTCTCAGATATAAGCACTTTTTCCCTAAATTAAAAATATATTTGGGGTTTGTGGAGCAGTAATTTTTTTGGAAGAAAGAAAAATCCAATGTAAAAATGTAGAGACTAGCTATTATAGTCATCTCTAAATAGATTTTTGAAGTGATAACGGCTAAATTATCCAAATGAAAAAAAATGTGTAATAGTAGTAACAAGGCTGTGCCCCTACTTTATGAATCTCACGCACAATTAAAAACTCTAATCCCTGAAATACCTTTGGAAGGGAGGGAAGGATTACAGACTAATTATAGGATTTATAACACAACACTAAGATGTTTTCATTTTATTACAATAATGAACAAAACATTGATGATATCTACTTTTAATGTAATTCTTCCAACATCATAACAGATTTTAGAAATGCAACCATAACCACTAGAGAAGGGAAGAATTTCAATAGCACACTAAATTGTCAGAAATTTCATTAACATGGAAAGTTCATATCATGATGTCAGAATATAGACTCTCTTCAAATTAATGATGAATACTAATTAAAGTCAGAACATTTGTAGGAAAGTATAAAATCTGTATCTGAGAGGGGAGAGGAGGAATTAGAGGAAGGAAAGGTCAGGGAAGTAATGTGAGTAAATCTGAGGGGGAGGATTTCCATATTGGGTTCATGATACTAAGAGAAACCAGAGGCCCAGCTGCTTCTATGGATAGCCCTACAGCTGTTGAACCGTGGGACAGAGGTCACTATGGCATTTGAGAACACAGATTATTCTTTGTGCCTAAAGATAAACCTGAACAATTTTTAAGTTTGTCAGGGACCAGCACTGTTCACCTTCAAATGTGTTGAAGGACCTGCACACTGAGCATGGGCAAGTTTTAGTCCATGTTTAAAGGAGCAAAACTATACCAAGGACCAATCACAAAAGTGTCTTTTACATTTTTTTGCCACAAATTGGCAAAAATATGAAATAATTTCAATATTGAAAGCAGTCTATGGATTTATAGCACAACTTGGTTTATTTGCTGAATAATAATGTCTATCATTTCCTGTGCCACATACCAGCTAAGCAAGGTAGATATGATTAGCTCTATTTTACATATAAGGAAACTAAGGTTCAGTGAACTTGATCGACGTGCCTACATTTACACAGCTATTAACTGGAAGGCCATTTTCTGATTTTAGAGCCCAGGCTTTTTCATTGTCTCACTGCAAACCCTAAAACTGCATGTATCCGTATAAGGGATTCAAACCTTGGATTCTCAGATATCTGATCACTGAGCAAAAATGGGAAAACTTATTTCTGTCATGATTTGAGTGACCAAAAACCAAAAGCTAAATTCAAACAAAACCAAAACCTACAGGCCACAGAGGATCTCAACCTCGAGTTTCTATATCCCAAGTGCTTTTTGGAAGTAATGATGGGGTGGGGAGGAATCTACAACCTAGTTTAAATTTTCAAAAATCTAAACAGATATTGCGTGATTACTGCAGAAAATTCTATTGTTTTTGCTTTGCCTGGCATTGCATAAAGTCAATCCAAAGTAGGAAAATAAATTTACTGTTAATAAATGTAGTTTGTTTGCTAGACAATATCTTTAATTATATTAGGTCCATGGAAGGGTTGGAAAATGATAATAATAAATGTTAAAAGGGAGGCTTTGGACATGGAAAAGAACCACTGATACTTGGCAAAATCTCGTATATTTATTCTATGTGTTATTAGTTCTGCCACTTAATAGTAGGTCTGTGATTATGAAGGAGTTGTGCTGCATTTAAGGATTTTATATTGCATTTCCACAAATATAAATGTTACCTGAAGAACACTAGTGTAAATTGGCCAACTCTAAATAATCAACACCATTCAGTCTGGGTCATAAAGCGCTGGAGGAGGAAGGGTGTGTTTGGAGATTATGAAATAGCAGGTCCCAGAGAACAGTTTCTCTAACTTCTCCTGATGGCTGCTCTTTCTCTAGTCCAGTGATTCTCAAATATTTTCGTCTTAAAGCCCCACAAAGCTTTTGTTTATGTAAGTTTATGAGGATTGCATCTATTGATACTACTGTATTAGAAATTAAAATTGGAGAAATGTTTAAAATATGTTACTTGAGTTACTTAATTTATAATAATGACAAGGCCATTACGTATTAACGTAAGTAACACATTTTAATAAAATAATAAGTGTTTTCCCAAACAAAAATTTGAGAAAAATGTTATTTTATATTTTGGAAGTCTCTTTAATATCTGGCAGCTGGATTCTCATATTAGCTTCTGCATTTTCATCTACTGTGACATGTTGTGTAGGTTAAGTACATAAGAAAATCTGTCCCCAAAGAGAAGCATCATTGAAGAAAGGAGTGTTTTCAGATAATTGTGGATAGTCTTTAATACTACTACAAAATCCTTCAAATGATAATTTCAAAAAAGTTAATTGCAATGGGGAATTTAAGTGCATATCAATAAACTTTTCATATTCTGTTACATTAAAACCCACTGGTCTATTGCTTGGATGTTTTACGCAAATCATAATACAGTGAGTGATTTGTAACAGCATGTAATGGTCACTGGGAAATTATTCCTTCACTGAATTATGCAGCTCTTCCAAATGTCTATTTCATTGTACAATATCAAAAATATCATATTCATTAGTTGTATTTCATCAGGAAATATTTTACATATTAGGATATGAATTTTCCAATATTTTAATTTTTACTTGTAAGTTCAAATAATTTTATCATTGGTTAAAAAAAATCTTGTCAATTGTTTTCCTAGAAGTGACAGGCTCACTTTGTTTATTTCTGAGAAAAAAAATCTGCCAAATATTCGAGTCTGAATAACCACAATTTGTCTTGTCAGTCAGTTGTTCTTTCAAATAAAAATGCTATTCTATAAAAAAAGTGACTAGTTCAACTTGAAACTCAATTGCACTAGTGCTTCTCCTAGACAGCCCTCGTACATCTGTGTGTAATAGAAGCACTTTACGTATCATTTCTATTTTGTCCCACAAAATATTAAAAAGACATACCCTAGAGGGTCAGGATTTAATAAATTTAGTCAAATACCTTTTTTTTTTACTGCTTTATCCAGTACATTCTTGAGTGAAACTGACTTTTTTTTTTTTTTTGCTACAATTTGATTCCACTTCCTTGCTTTGTGCCAAGACCACCACAGTTTCACCCAGCATCAGTGAAAACACTGGCAAAGTGAAAAAGGCAAATATCACCTTAGTACTTTAAAATAGTTCTAGCCTCACAGAACCCCTGAGTCTCGAGGACCTCCACAGACGCTTTGAGAACCAGTGCTCTAGTCCTACAACAGTTGTTATCTGGGTCACTCACTTGCTACTTGACTACATGCTACCTTATGTTGTTACTTGTCTTCTGCTGCCCACAAATCTAACCTCCCTAATTAGGAACCGTATTATTTATGTATGTATCCTGAGGATGGTTGAAGTGCATGGCAGGCAGTACAACTACAGTTTTTTGATGACTGATTGACTGACACATTGGAATTAGTGGTTCATGTGCACTCTTAGTTTATCGCAGATCACATCCTAGCTGGTTTTGCTTTTTTACTTATGTTACCAAGTGAAGAAATACATTTGGGGGAATATATTTATTCTGAGGAAGGAAAGGGACATTCGTCATGATACGTTATTATTTTTCCAAACAGATATCATCATTGGAAGCCATGTTTGTTTGTGTTCTATTTTAGCTATTCCATTGCTAGTACAGGAAACAACTTTCCATACCAGTGGATGAGAATTTGAGTCCAGTTTGTGATGAATTTAAAATATGACAGTCATGAATGCCACCAGAGGAATGGCTTCTAATAGTAAAGGGCTTGTCCAATTTGTACGGCAAGCTGCAAAACACAGCTGAAATTTGGACAGTTCATTAGTTTCACTCCTTGGGGTCATGCAAGACTTCTTAAATGTGTGAGGAAGTTCTGTTGCCTGTGAGGTCACAAATCAATCTACTATAAATAGCAATATGCCTGTATTTTTTTCACTTTTCACACTCTTAGTCTTTACTATTAGAAATTGTATAGTGGCAGAATCATCCCTTAATCCAGCAAGGGGAAGTGAAATTATGCAGCCAATTGATTACTGGGAGCAATACCTCATTTTCAGTGTAGGAAATGACTTCCCTTTTTGCAGATGAATTTGCTAAGAATAACTTAACAGATATGTGACTCAGTGATATTAAAGAAGGCCAAGAAAGTAGGTAAGGATACACAATTTACATTCTTTTAACATGATTAAAATTTAGATTTGAACTTGCTGAGTACTAGGTGTATTCAGGCCTATTACCCTAAAGTAGCATGTCCGGTGACAATATTTCACTATTAACCCCTTCCAAGAGGAGATATGTCTAACAAATTAGCATCTAGATACATGTGCTAGTGCAACTGAGAAACTTGAATTTGAATTATAATTTAAATTTTAAAACAGATTCTCAATTAGTCATTAAAACAATTATGTTTGGAAAAACTTGGGTATGTTAATCTACTTTTTCAACAGTAAATTTTATGAAATCTAAATACTGATCCAGTACTTCCAGTGCAAATTTAGCAACCAAATTGAGATGTGCTGCACATGTTAAATTCACATCAGATTTCAATGACTTAATATGATAAAATGGATAAAATGTCTCAATAATCTTTATACTGATTATATTTTGAAATGGTAATTGGATATATTGGGTTAAATAAAATATGTTATTAAAATTAATTTTGCACATTTCCTTTTACTTTTTTAAAATGGTGGCTACCAGATAATTTAAAATTATGTGTGAGAGGCTGGGTGTGGTGCCTGGCCCAGCACTTTGGGAGGCTGAGGTGAGCGGATCACTTGAGTTTGGGAGGTAGAGGCTGCAGTAAGCCATGATCATGCCACTGCACTCCAGTCTGGGGATGGAGTGAGACCCTGTCTCAAAAATAAAATAAAATAAAAATAGTAAAATAAAATTATATATGTGATTCATATTTTATATTGGACAGAGCTGGTATAGGACACCTCCTTCTACCTATGTGGATAAGAAGGCAAATGGAAAATATTATATATTAATTTTATTCTCATTATGTGAGATATAGATTTGCATAAAGCAATTGATATCTAAAAATTTATTAGACAAAAAATTTTATTAGACACCTTTTCAGCATACCTCAAAGCCTTCCTCACTAAATCAGCATTGATTTTATGTTTCTGTGCTAAGCAGTGGCAGATTTACTTTGCATCCAGTTTGCATTCTGGGAATCATGTTTTTTTTACTGTATTTTTTAGAGCAGTTTTACATTCTCAGAAAAATTTAGCAGAAAGTACAGAGAGTTCCCTGTTCCCACAGGCACAGTCTCCCTCACTATCATCATCCCACACCAAACTGGTACATTTGTTCCAATCTATAAATCTACATTGACACATTGTATCACCCAAAGTCCCATAATTTATATTAGGGTGCATTCCTGGTGTTGTACATTCTATGGGTGTGGACAAAGGAATCATTTTTTAAAAAATGTATGTTACATATGACATTTCTGTTTTTCTATTAATATACATGGCCTGAAATGTATATTTCATAATAAATGGAATTGCAATGAGGGTCTTCACTGGTTTAAAACAAGCCTTTTTTTGTTTAAAACGCCATATTGTTGTAGAACATTTGAAAAAACCAAAAAAAAAAAAACATTCAAATAAAGTAAAGAAATTAACCATGGTCTTACCGCTCAGGAAAAATAAAAAATTTGTTTGTTATTTTAACAATTTTTCAGTTTCTTCTGTGTATTTAAGCACATATTATGATCATTACATAATATAGTTTAATAGTTGTTTAATCACTTAGTAAATATATGAATATTTTCCCATGTAATTATTTTTTAAACTGAATAAATAATAGTATTCCATTATATATATGTGCCATTATTCATTTTACCAATCTCCACTGTGATTATTCTCATATACAGATTTCTTTTTACATCTTGACTATTTTCCTTAAACATACAGGACTGTGTCCTAAGAAACTGCTGGGTGAAGGGTAAGGGGATTGACTATGGATATACATTGTCAGTTGTCATCCCAAAAGTTTGTATGGCAACACTATTTTTGCAATACCCTTGGTGAAACCAGGTATTAAAATTTAAAAAATATTCATCAATTTTAAAAGCAAAACTTGCTGTTTTAATTTGCATTTTTGATTGAGATTGAACATTAAAAAATATGTTAATGAGACAAAAATGTTTCTTTTGAGTGGTCTGCTCATGGTTATTGCTCATTTTCTGCTGTATAGGTATTTATCTTATTATTTGTAAGATGTCTTCTAATGTAAAGATATTAAACGTTTAGCTGCCATTAATGTCCAAAATATTTTTTCCAAGTTACCATTTGCCTTTTAATTATATTTATGGTGTTTTAAACAGAGATGCTTTTAATTTTTAGGTTAATCCACTTATCAATCTTTTTATTGATTCTTCCTTATCTATGTTGTAATCAAATAAGTATTCATTTGTGTTTTAAAATAGACCTTAATTTTCAAATGGCTCACTCTACTTTTTCTGGATTTATTTCATTTTGGTGTATTTATGAAGTAGAAGTTATAATTTTTTTTCAAATAGTTGACCAATTGTTCTAACATCATTTTAAAAATAAGCAATCTGCCCTCACTTTAATGCTTGCTAAATTCTTAGCTATACTAGGGTCCTTTTGCACTCCGTTCATATGTTCTTGTTTTCAGACACTGATTCCACATAGTTTTAATTATTATTAATCTCTGATAGTATACCTCCTCTTTTAATAATCTTCTTTTTCCAGAAACTTGATTTGTAGTGGTTATTGTCTTCACTCAATTCCTTTAGGGGAATATCAAAATTATTTTGTAAAGTTCCTCCTTCTTCCCAAAGTTATCACATTGAAATTTTAATTTGTTCAATTTTGAAATTAACCTGGGGCGATCTGACAAACTGCTTTGAGGATTAAAATAAGAGAAGGCTTTGTGTATGTGTCCTTTCCAGTCAGACTCTATGATTAGTGTTTTGTAAAATATTTGTGACATTTCACAATAATCATATATTTTTTAAAAAAAACTGTTTATGAAAAGTACTTGTTGGCATTGTCTGAATAGGGAATGGATTTTAAATAAAGGGAAAACAGAAAGAGGGCTCTGTATATATTGCTTATAGGACATAAAAGAAATTGGCTAATTACAATGGACTTTCTAAATTAAGTAAAAATAAACCAATGAAGAGGAGAAGATAGAAAAGAAGATAAGGGAAAGAATAAGTGAAAGGAAATGAAATAACATTAGACCAAGAGCAGATTATGAAATAGAGAGCTGAACTTCTAGAAATTTTTTTTAAAGCAGGAGAAAGAAAGAGAGAGAACGAGAACATTCTTGATGTAAACTGAAATATTCAATTCAAACACTAGAAAGCTGGCACAAAGTTACTTTTAATTTTTATGTTAACTGATAAATGAAAGAGGACCTAGAAGGTAAAGGGGAAAAAATCCTATTTTAGCATCGTCAAAGAGGATTTAAAGAGATATATTTCTTGTAAAATGTATAAATGGGTCATGGAATTATTTCTTAAAACACTGTACCAATATTTTCTATATATATATTTCATTATTTGAGTATAGAAAATATTTTGTAACTTGTTCTTCATGTTTTGTAATTTAATACCTGAGAATCCCTGGTCTTACTGAAGAAGTTTTACTTTTATCTATAATAGTGAATTATCTTCATTTGTTATTTCTGGGCAGCTTTTCACTGTAATGTCTAGCTATTCAGGAAAAAAAAAGCTATTAAGGAAAAAATCTACTAAAATAGATTACTAATATTTAGTTTTATAGAAAAAATAACTTAGGATACATTATAGCTATGCTTTAATAAAGGGCCGTGTGGAATTTGGATTTAAGGGTTCTCAGTCAGATTCCCTCACTAATGCAATTGCAGATTCCTACATTTCTTCCTGAAGGTGGCAGTATTTTAGTGACAAAAACTGACAACAAGCTGAGGAACTGTACCAGAGCTCTCGGAGATCAACAAAGGTGCCGCTTTTGAATGTGAAAGTTTTTTCAAGACTTTTCTATTTCTTGGTTTGAATCGTGTGCCTGTAGGGACACATGCTACCTGCTTACTGGACAGTGACTACTTAGGATAAGGACTCAGGCAAGTAAGGTTGCATTTTAGTCTCTCAGATATGGGGGGAAAATTTTGGTGACATTGGAGAGAGAGATAAATGAAATATTTTATTAAATTTAGAATTTAATGTAAAGTAGCATATACAGAGGCAAGAAACAGAATAATGTGTTTTATGGTTGTCAGCTACCATCTTTAATTGGTGAGTGACCATTTCATTTGTACTGTTACTTTTCTTAAGAGACAAACAAAATTTTCTAAGTGTTTGTAGATGTAATGACTATGGAAACAAAACCTTATTTTTGTTAGCAATTAACACATTGCCAGAAGAAATGAGAGCATTAACAGATTTTGGAACAAATACCATATTAACAATCAAAAGAAAATGACTTTTATACGTGTTAAGCTGCAAATTCTGGGAGGAGAATGTGTAGACGTCTATGTATATATGTGTTAATTAACTAACATGGGGAAATAAAGAAACATAAACAAAAGTAAATACAGATGAACAAAACTTATCTAAAAAGTGAGTTTCAAACTGGTTGTGTTACTTAGTTTATTATGATATTTTAAATAACCAATAAACATTAACAGTGTTGATGTTTCTGGTTAATTCATCATTTACTTTGATTGGACAAGGACATATTAAAATAGGCTGGCTGATTTGTGGTACTGTCTGTTTGCTGAAAATATCTGTATTATAGTTCTTCCAAAGGAACTAGAAACTACAGAGCCCCAAGCGACACTGGATTTGTAGTCCTCTGAAAGTTGTCACCGATAATGGAGATAAACTTGTTCTTATAGTAGTAGCAACATGATATTTTATTCAGTTTATAATATCCTTAAAAATTATCTTGAAAATAAAATATTTATCCTTCAGGTTTTTCATAAATTCAGTGACAAAATTCTCCTTTCTGTGCTAGCTATATAAATTGTGCCAATTTATGTTGACATTCCATTTATGAGTGAAGTCCCACAAAGTTTTTGCTGGTTTTTCAAAATGTCAATCTCTACATTTATAGACACCTTAGGGATATTTTCTTATACATCCCACTAGCTAGTGAACTAAAACTCTCTATTCTTGCATCATAGGTATTCACTGAACTCTATCTTTTCTCTTCTTTTTTACATTATACTGTCAATGTCTACTAGATTCACAGCTACTCTTTTCAAAAAAAAAAACATTCAATTCTTTACTTTTTTTTTTTTAATACAGAGAAGTTTTAGATTCACAGCAAAATTGAGCAAAAAGTACAGGGAATTCCCATATACCTCCTGTCCCCAAACATCCACAACCTCCCCTGCTGTCAACATCTGGCACCAAGGTGGTACATTTGTTCCAATCAATGAGCCTGCATTGACACATTATTACCCAAAGTCACTAGTTTACAGTATGGTTTACTCTTGGTGCTGTACACTTTATGGGTTTTGACAAATGTTTAATGACATGTGTTCACCATTGTAGTATCATATGGAATAGTTTTGCTGCCCTAAATAACTTCTGGGCTCTGTCTTTCCTTCCCTCTTTGCCCTCTAACTTCTGGCAGCCACTATTTTTTTTTTTTTTACTGTCTCTATAGTTTTGCCTTTTCAAGAATGTCATGTAGTTGGAGTATGAACCCTTTTCAGATTGGCTTCTTTCACTTAGTAATATGCATTTGTTTCTTCCATGTCTTCATGCCCTGATAACTTATTTCTTTTTAGTGCTGACTAATACTCCATTGTATGAATACACCACAGTTTCTTTACTACTGAAGGAGATCTTGGCTGCTTCCAAGTTTTGATAATTATGAATAAAGCTGCTAAAAACATCTGTGTGAAGCTTTTAGGGTGGACATAAGTTTCTAGTTCATTTGGGTAAATACAATGAAGTGCAAATGCTGAATTTTATGGTAAGTGTATGTTTAGTTTTGTAAGAAACTGCCAAACTGTCTTCCGAAGTGACTGTGCCATTTTGCATTCCACCAGCAATGAATGAGAATTCTTGTTGCTTTAACATCCTTGCCTGCATTTGTTGTTAGTGTTTTGGATTTTCGTCATCCTAATAGGTATGTAGTCGCATCTTGTTTTAATATGCAATTTCCTGATAACATATGATTAGGGAAATTAATATGTATCAGAAAATTATTTTTCTTAGCATTTTGCTACTTTTGCTCAGAATTTTGCCTATAAGACTCATCTATGTTGTTCTATGTATCAGTAGTTCATTCTTATTGCTACGTAGTATTCTTTTGTATTTATATACTGTAATTTGTTTATTCATTCTCCTGTTGATGGACATTTAGATTGTTTCCATTCTTTGGCTATTGTGAATAAATTTGTTATGAACATTCTTGTGCAACTCTTTTATTACAGTAATATGTTTTCATTTCTCTATGATAAGATACAGGAGTTGAGTTGCTATTTCAAGTAGATGTATGTTTAACTGTAAAAAACTGCTTAGCATTATTGCAAGGGATACCATTTATCTGTCAGTAAAATTTGAGAGTTCTTGTTGCTCTGCATCCCACCAACACTTGGTGATGTCACTTTCTGCTTTTATTCATTGTGTAGGTGTACAGTACATCTCAGTGTGCTGGGCTTTAAAAAATTATTAAACTTTATATTTATTTATTTATTTAAAATTTTTTTTAAATTTTTTTTTTTCTTTTTTTTTGAGACAGAGTTTCGCTCTAGTTGCCCAGGCTGGAGTGCAATGGTGCGATCTCGGCTCACCGCAACCTCCACCTCCTGGGTTCAAGCAATTCTCCTGCCTCAGCCTGCCGAGTAGCTGAGATTACAGGCACTTGCCACCACACCTAGCTAATTTTGTATTTTTAGGAGAGACGGGGTTTCTCCATGTTGATCAGGCTGATCTCAAACTCCCGACCTCAGGTGATCCGCCTGCCTCGGCCTCCCAAAGTGCTGTGATTTCAGGTGTGAGCCACCGCGCCAGGCCAACTTTATTTTTAAAAGCAGTTTTAGGTTCATAGCAAAATTGAGAGGAAAGTGTAGAGTTCCCGTTTACCTCCTGTCCCCACACATGCACAAAGCTCATAGTTTATATTAGAGTTCACTCTTGGTGTTGTACATTCTATGGGCTTTTAAAAATGTATAATTATTTCCTCCCTTCCTTTTGTATCATTGCTGTTATTCATTTCATTTATACATAAGCATATATAATCAAATGCATTGTTGCTATTATTTTGAAGAAAGTATTATCTGTTAGACCAAGTAAGAATAAGAAAAATAAGTTTTTATTTCACCTTCATTCAGTCTCTGACGCTCTTCTTTTCTTTACGTAGATCTGAGTTTCTAGTCTATATCATTTTCCTTCTTTCTGAACAACTTATTTTAACATTTCTCAGTCTACTGGCAACAAAGGCCCTCAATTTTTGTTTGTCTGAGAAAGTCTTTATTTCTCTTCCACTTTTAGAGGATAATTTCATGGCGTACAAAATTCTAGGTTGGTGTTCTTTTTTTCTCTCAACACTTTAAGTATTTCACGCCACTCTCTTCTTGCTTGCCTGGCTTCTGGGAAGAAGTTGGATGTAATTCTTATCTTTGTTCCTTTGTAAGTAAGGTGCTTTTTATTTTCTTCTGCCTTCTTTCCAAAAAATTTTTTTTTTGTTTCTGAAGTTTGAATATGGTATGCCTCGGTGTAGGGGTTTTCATTTTGTTTTTCTGTTTTGCTTTTTTGCATTTATCCTGCTCGCTGATCTTTTGAGTTTTCTGTATCTGTGGTTTGCTGTCTGACATTAATTTGGAGGAAATTCCCAGTCGTTATTGCTTTAAATATTGCTTCTTCCCCTTTCTTTATGTCTTTTTCTTCTGGCATTCCTATTACGTTCATGGTATATCTTTTTTAGTTGTCCCAGAGTTCTTGGATATTTTGTTCTCTTTTTTTTTCAATTTTATTTTTCTCTTCACTTTTAAGTTTTGGAAATGTCTATTCATATCTTTAAGCTCAGAGGTTCTTTCCTCAGTTGTGTCCAATCTACTAATGAGTCCATCAAAGGCATTCTTCATTTGTAAGTGTTTTTGACCTCTAGGCTTTCTTTTGATTCTTTCTTAGAATTTCCATCTCTCTGCACTATCTGTTCTTGCATGTTGTGTACTTCTTCCAGTAGAGCCCTTAGCATATTAATCATAGTTGTTTTGCATTCCTGGTTGGATAATTGCAACATACCTGTCATAGCTGACTCTGGTTCTAATGCTTGCTCTGTCTCTCTAAACTGTGTTGTTTGCCTTTTAATTTTTATATTCTGTATTGTATGCCTTATAATTTTTTGTTGAAATCATACATGGTATATATGTAAAAGAAGCTCTAATAACTAGGCCTTTAGTGGTGTAGTTTAAGGTATGAAGGAAGAAAAGCATTCTGTATCCTATGATTAGGTCTCAGTGTTTCTGTAGGCCTGTACTTCGCCAGTGCTTCTCAATGCTATTTCCCCTATTAGGCTGGACAGGATGGCTACAGAGGGCTGGCATTGGATATTTCCCTTCCCCTGCGCAGGTTGGGCTCTGATAAAACTCTAGCAGGTTAGCTTCTGGTCCTGAGGACAGGACTTGTTAAAAAGAACAGATAGATTCTTTTTTCATTCCCTCGCCAGAAGCATAGGGAGATTTTTCTCCATTATTCACTATCAGGACATGGACATGGTAGAGTTCCCAGAGGTAAAATTCACAAAGCATGAGGGATCCCCTATGCCTGGGTCCTCCTAAAATTGTAAGGTCTCAGGCTGGTTCTCACTCAGCCTCTAGAAGTTCAAGTTTTCCCGCTCTGCTACTAGTTTAGGCTGAAGTTTTCTAACCTGCCCCTGGGGTTTCTGCTGTGGTAAATTCCAATTCTCTGTATTTGCTTGTTGCTCTCTTCAAGTTTGGGGCAGTGGTTTGCCCTGTGACCTCACTTCTCTGACAGCGCTAAGTGCTGTTGATTTTTCAGGTTGTTCAGCTTTTTGCCTCTTGTTAGGAAGTGTGACAACTTCTAAGTTCTTCACAGGCCAGACTAGAAACGGAAAGTCTCCAGTTCTTTACTTTTTAATCACAGATGTGAGCCTGCTATGCAGAAAAATTGAGGCAATGTCCATATATTCATCTGATTTTTGTACCTAATGCTTTGGAAACCTTTTGGATAAAAATATTAATGAAATATAATTTTTACATTCTCCTGAAATAGAGCAGAATAAGCATGAAAGAAGTACAGAGTAATTCTAGCTTCATGTTGGTATGTAAAACCTGAGATAAGCAAAATTCTAATTTTTAAATCACTCACTATTTGTGTATGGTTTCAAAGGCATTATGAAATGTTTATGTAGACATAATACCAAACATGAACAAAATTCACTCCTACCTCATTTATCCCCTGACTCTTCTCTAGAGCCCTTACTGTTAGTGGCACTGAACCCAGTTTGGTGGTAGAAGGAAGACAAGCACAAGTTGACTACATTTTAAAAAAAATTTTCTTTGTTTGAATAGTCACAAAGAGGTTTTGTTCTGAAGCTATCAAAGTACAAAATGTTCCTAAACTATTAAATATTTCACCAATATGGTTAACTTTTCCACATGGATTATAATTCCTGAAAGCTCAGAAAATATTTTTTGGAGAGACTCTTGTTCTCTGAGACAGCTCTGATTGTTGGCATTCAGTAAGCAATGCATGCTATTTTCCCAATTTTGGCTCCCCAGAAAAATAGGTCCCTAATACCTTATAAGTATTGTTTCCACACTTTTATGCATAGAATAATATAACTCAATGGACATAAGGATCAAAGATGCTATGAAAACTCATAGGTGAGTAAAATTAGTTTTGATTGAGGAATGAAGACAAAGATCATAAAAGCTAATGGCATTAAACATTTTAAGACCAGTAGTATGCACCAACAGCTTTAAAAATCTCCATGCCCATTTGTCTAGGTATTCCACTTCAAAGTTATTGCAATTACAAAGTTATTCATCATAACACTATTTAAAACAGCAAAACAACTAACATCTGGGAAATAGGAAAAACCAAGTAAAAATGTGATCCTGTCAATAGAAAGCCATGAAACCACAGGAATAACTTTGAAAATGTTTGTCTTCCATGCCATTAGCTTCATTATCTTTTTGATCCTTTGACTAAGGGTAATTTCACTCACCTATAAACTTGTACATTATTTTTGATCATTATGTTTATCAGATTACAGAATTTATGTATTTTATTGACACCCATTAAACTATAAACTTGTTGAAGTGAGGGATTTTGTCCTTCTCATCTATTTTTTTAACATGGCATATACCATTATATTCTTCGAGAAAAACATAAATGAGAGACAAAGTCTGTCAAATGAATTTCAGTTACCATGGTTTAATAAATAGTACCAGTACCCTCATAACATGGTTCAAGTTTTAGTTACTAAGGTATATTATCAGTGACTAATTACATAAGATACAAACTTTGTTGCTGGGGACAATGTCACCTGCAGTATGTTGCAGTGTCCAGGAAGTGAACTAAAGACTATGGCTGCCATGTCAAATCCTCCAGTAGAACACTCACTCTTCCCTCTAGTTTTTTTTTTTTAAATCATGACAGAAAACACATAATATAAAATATATTCTCTTAATCATTCAAAGTGCACAGTTCAGTGGTATGAACTATATATTCATTTGTTGTATAACAGTTCTGTAGGACATTTTGATCTTGTAAAACTGAAACTCTATACCCATCAAACAACTGCTTATTTTTCCCTCCCCTCAGTCACAGGAAACCACCATTCAACTTTCTGTTTCTATGATTTTGTCTGCTAGATATTGCATGTAAGTGGAATTGTACAGTATTTGTCCTTCTGTGACCCTCTAGTTATGTTGTGTACCTAATTTGTCATGTGGCCATCTCACAGAGGGAAGGATGAAGAAAGGGAACCATGTGTATATACTGTATTAAATATTGGTTAAGATTATTTTTCTGATTTTTCAAAACAAAAATTTATAATTAAAAGTTCTCACGTTTTCTTTCTCCAGCCTAATAGGTGCTTTTGTATTAACCCAATGTCAATACCCTCTAGCCAGAAACCCACCTGTAGCTGAAAAAGTTGAGTTTATTTCTCACTGCAGCAAGACAAAAATCATGCCAAGGGAACTGTTTCAGTAAGAGGATGTTAAGAAAGGTGTATTAAAGAACTGGGGCTTTGAATGGGTGATTTTGAAAAGAGTCTAGGGAAACAATTTATTCTGCATAACTGCTGTCAGGAAGTGAAGGAAATTCTATGATTGGGTATCTCAATAAACCTTATTTATAAAGAAGGCAGGTGTATTAGACCATTCTTGCATTACTGTAAAGAAATATCTGAAGGCTGGGCGTGGTGTCTCACACCTGTAATCCCAGCACTTTGGGAGGCCGAGGTGGGCGGATCACTTGAGGTCAGGAGTTTGAGACCATCCTGGCCAATATGGTGAAACCCAGTCTCTACTAAAAATACAAAAAAAATTAGCCCGGTGTGGTGGCGCATGCCTGTAGTCCCAGCTACTCGAGAGGCTGAGGCAGGAGAATCACTTGAGCCCTGGAGGCAGAGGCTGCAGTGAGCCCATGTTGTGCCACTGCACTCTAGCCTGGGCAACAGAGCAAGACTCTGTCTCAAAAAAAGAGAAGTATCTGAGACTTGGTAATTTATAAAGAAAAGAGGTTTAATTGGCTCACGGTTCTGCAGGCTTTACCAGAAGCATGGTGCTGGCATCCGCTGGGCTTCTAGGGAGGCCTTAGTAAGCTTGTAATTATGGCGGAAGGCAACAGGGGGGCAGGCATGTCACATGGTGAAAGCAGGAGCAAGTGAGAGAGAGTTGTGTCTGGGAGGTTTCACACAATTTTAAATGACCAGATCTCACGAGAACTCGCTATCAGGAAAACAGCACCTAGCCATGAAGCCTCCACCCCTATGATCTACACACCTCCCACTAGGCCCCACCTCTAGCATGGCGAGGGATTACAATTCAACATGAAATTTGGGTGAGAACAAAGATCCAAACCATATCGCAGATTAGAGCAAGGGTAAAGCTATAATTAGTAAAGAAGCAACAGGGACTCATATTAGCTAGGAGAAAGAGATGTTTGGTATTTTGTGGGGTTTCTACAGTGGCCTTATTTTGATGTGTGCTTAGATAAAATAATGAAGTGGACTTATTAATATTTTGTTTCACTTTATCATGGTCTCAGAGTGGCTTTGTCTCATGCTGCTGTTTTGTGAGATTGCTAATGTTCAACAGAGCAACAATATGGCCTACCCACTAGCATTGGTCCAGTTTGTGATAACACTGAGACCTGGTTGTGTCAGATTAGTTTCTGGATTTAGGGCCTGCTATTTTCTTGTTCATCACTTTCATAGACATGTAGGGTTGAAATCAGAGAAATCTATGATGCAACTTCAATTTCGTTATTTACTTTCAGTGTGATCATGGGCAAATGATTTACTCTCTGTCACTTCAATTACCTATATGGTACCTACCTCAAAGGAACACAGTGAGCATTAAATGAGATAGAGCATCTGGAGTGCTGAGTAGATTGATTTGTACTGAGAGCTCATGTTAACAATAACTGCCTTTTATTAGCTCTCTCTCATGGAGGATTCTTTTTTTTTTCCATTTAAAAAACACACGTTTTGGGTGACTACCAAGTGTCAGGCACCACGCCAGGGATGCAATGATGAACAAGTCATCTGTGGCCTCTTCCTCACAGAACCTGCAGCCTAGCATGAGTAACAAACAACTAGACAGGCAATTTAACAGAGGGTAAAAGTTTCTACGAAAAAGGACTATAGGAGTCTCTAAAATAGCTTAGCAGGCCTGGAGAACTGTCTCTAGAAAAAAGTGTTGCTTATGATGATATCTAACAAAGGAACAGGAGTTATCTGTGATCTAGGTAGAAGGAACAGCATAAGCTAGGGCAGAAAAGTGAAAGAGAATATGGCACAGCCTGTTCGATGGAGAAACAAACAAATAAATAAAAAACAAAAACAGAAAGAAAAAGACTTGCACTTTTTAAGTGCACTCCATATGAAACAATTTCTTTTCAAGTCTTGTACATAATTTGATTTGCCACTGCAATAGTGATTACAGCTGATTAATTAATGATGATACAATGCTTTGAAAATACAAAGTGCAGCACATTTGCTAACAAAATGATGATTAATTAGCATGATTACTGTTTCAATATAGCCTCTGTTTACTATCTAAACTTGGACTTCCAAATGTCTGCTTGCCTTCACGCACCAAAGACAGCTGCTTCACAATGGTTTGGAGGCTATTTTTGGCCTTTCCTTCCCTGGGTTGTGAATGAACGTAGGACTAATAATGAAAGAAAAAAAAAGTGGTCAGAATGACTTCCAAGGTTTTTGCCTAACAAGGAATTCTACAATGTCTACTATTCTCTCTCTCTCAGTTTCTGCTACACTAAAATCATGCTGAAAAGTACTGGGAGTCTGTGCTATGGGGGCTTCTGGTGAAGCAAATGCACTGAGGGCCATTGTTTCAGTATATAAACTTTCTTGGTTAGGGTCCACTAAATAAACATAACTTCTTGTGGATTTCAATATCACCCCACTATTACATACAATTTCTAGAGAAATAACAGACTAAATGGGATTCTAGCAGTGTGTATTTTTCCCTTGATAAAAAATACTTCAGTGTTATCATCTTCTGCTATTAATTAAAAAAATACAGAAACAATGCTGCTGAGTTTTAATTGTTGATGAACATCTAAACGTGCTTAGTTTACAGTTAAACACTATCCAAAGTGATTTTTTGTTTCTGTAATGAATAACCAGGATAAGCAGATGTGGGTGGCAGCATCCTATTGATAAAAATCATCTTGGTTAATAGACATAGGTGCATCAAAATGTTGGATTTAACCCAGTCTGAAGGAAGTTTCTAGTGAAATATTGTTCTTTTTAGGATGTAGAAAGTTCTCTTCAGTTGTCCAGTGTGTCAAGTGACTCCTGCATTTGGCTGGCTGGCATGATAAGCTGATAGGAATTTGGCTTGGAGAGGCTGCACTAACAGATATTGGCCTAAAAATGGTTGCAGACATGTTTTCATTGCAGGTATTAAATGCTTGCAGCTATCTTTTGGCCTAGAGTATGTTCCTATTATTAGGTTAGTTCAAAAGTAATTGCAGTTTTCACCATTAAAAGTAATGCCACTAGATCTGCCTTAATAATAAGAACTTATTTCTGGTAGGGGAGAAAAGACAAATTCACAAATATATTTACATTAAATTGAGCAGTTTGTGGTAAGTATAGTAGGAGATTATATAAATCCATGCTGAAAAGAAAGCAGAGAATGGAGGAATTACTCTGAGCTGGGTATTTTTCATGGTGGAGGTGCCTTTAGGAATGGGTCTTGAACAATAGGAAGTATTTCAAATAGCAGAGATGGTATTATGGATTGGAAGAGGGAGAGCATTCCAGGACTTGGAAATGGCATTGAGCAAGAATGTGGGGAAAAGCTGGCAATAGTTATTGCGTCCTGTCTATTCTGTCTCTGAACTCTCATTACATTTAAAGTCATTATTGATAGGTAAGGACTTACTACTGACATTTTGTTGTTTTTCTGCATGTTTTGTGTATTCTTTTTCCCTTCTTCATCTCTTCTATCTTCCTTTGTGATTTGATACTTTTCTATACCGGTAAGCTTTGATTCCTTTCTCTTTGTCTTTTGTGTATCTACTATAGGTTTTTGTTTTGTGGTTATCATAAGGCTTACATAAAACACCTTATAATTATATTATTCTATTTTGAGATAACAACTTAACTTCAATTACATGCAAGAGCTCTGCACATTTACTCACCCACATTTTGTTTTTGATGTCACAATTTACATAATTTTATATTGTATATTCATTAACAAATTATTGTAGTTACAGCTCTTTTTAATATTTTGTCTTTTAACCTTTGTACTTGAGTTATAAGTGATTTACACACCCTCATTACAATATTAGAGTAATTGGAATTTGACTATATATTTACCTTTACTGATGAGTTTTATGTTTTCACATGTTTCCTATATTATTAAAATTCTTTTGTTTTAGCTTGTGGAACTCCTTTTAGCATTTCTTGTAAGGCAAATCTAGTGGCAATGAACTCCTTCAGCTTTTGTTTGTCTGGGAAAGTGTTTATCTCTCCCTCATTTCTGAAGGGCAGATTTGTGGGTAGAGTGTTCTTGGTTGTCAGGTTTTTTCTTTCTGCACTTTGTATATATTATCCCACTCTCCTGACTTTCAAGGTTTTTGCTGAGAAATTCCTGGATGGTCTTATAGGAGTTCCCTCATATGGAACAAATCTGTTTTCTCTTGTTTTCAAAGTTATTTATATTTTATTTTTGACAGTTTGATTATAATGTGTCTCACTGAAGCCTTCATGGGTTGAATCTGTTTGGGATGCTTTCAGCTTCATGTTCCTGGATGTCTATATCTCTCCTCAGATTTGGGAAGTTTTCAGCCATTATTTTCTTTAAATAAGCTTTTTGTCCCTTCCTCCTTTCTTTTTGTTTGGAACTCCCATTATGTGTATGTTAGCTCCCTTGATGGTGTCACGTAAATCCCATAAGGTTACTTCATTACTTTTCATTCTTTTTTCTTTTTTTCCCTCTGAGTAATTTTAAGTGTCCTGTCTTTGAGTTTGCTGATTCTTTCTTCTGCTCGATTGAGCCTGCTGTTGAAGCTCTCTATTGCATTTTTAGTTCAGTCATTGTATTCTTCAGTTCCAAAATTTGTTTGGTTCTTTCTTGTGTTTTATATTTCTTTATATCTAATTTTGTTCTTGTATTGTTTTCTTGATATTGTTAAATCATTTATCTGTGTTCTCTTGTATCTCATTGAGCTTCTTTAGAACAATTATTTTGAATTATTTGTCAGGCACTTCCTGGACCTCCATATTTTGGGGTTGGTTATTGGAAGTGTATCGTATTATTTTGGTGGTGTCATGTGTCCTTGATTCTTTATGATTCTTGTAGCTTTTTTTTTAGGTGTCTGCATATTTGAAGAGGCAACTACCTCTTCCAGGCTTTATGGACTGGATTTGGTAAGGACAGACCTTTGCCTATTGGGGTAAGGGAACACTGAAATATGCTTTGGCACTAGGTTTAGTGGCACTGGATCTAGAGACACATAGCACCAAATGTGGGGGCATACAGTGGCTCTGGCTTTTGGGGGCATGGTGTCTGGATGGTGCAAGCAGCTGCCCCTCTGACATTGGCACTTGCATGCTTCTTGGTGGCAAGAGCTATGAGGGGGCTGGTTCACAGTGGCTGTGAAGGCTGTTGGAGTCAACAGCGCCTCTAGGCACAGCAGCAAGGGACCAGGGAAAGCAGTGGTGGGGACTGCGGACAATGATATGCATCCACTTGGCTACAGGGACCAACTGTTGGGGCCAGCTAAAGGCACATGCACTGGTGGCAGGGGCTGGCTGCAGGCAAATACATGATGGTGAGGGCTGCTGCCAGTGGCAAGGGTTGGTCCAAGTGCAGTGCATGCGTGGCTGTGCGGGCCAGATGCATGTGCATGCGAAGCTTTGGAGGCTGGGGCTGGCATCATGCACACATGCAGCTGCAGGGGTTGGCGGTGGGCACACATGCAGAAGTGGGGGCAGCTCTGGCAGGGTGAGTGGTGTGGCAGCTCAGGCAGCTGGAGTCTGCAAAGACAAACAACTGTAAGCCCTTGGTGGCAAAAGCTGCCAGGATCTTCTGTGAAGCAGGCCACTGAGATTCATTACAACAAATATTGTGGATCCTCAGTGGTGAAAGCTGTAGGGACTCTGCAACAGTTGTGAGGGCTACTGAGGTCCTCAGTGGTGAAGGCTGGGTGAGGTGAAACACAGTGGGTCCTGCAGGCAGTTCCCCAAAAGTCTAGGGAAACTGGTTGTTCCCCTTACTCTCCCTTTCCCTGGGAGGAGGACTCGTGGCCTGGGAGTTTCCTCTCAGTGTATCATCCACAGAGATGGGATGATACAGGCAAAGTGAAACTGTTTTTCCTACCCATTTTGTGCCTTTTTTCTCAGGTATTTTACTCCACTGTGTTGCTGCAGCTTCTTAACTGGGCTCCTGAGCATCCCCAGAGCTATTTTTCTTCATGAATAGCTGTCTAATGGTTGTTTTTTTTTTTTTTTTTGTAGGGGTGCAAAGGCTAAAATCTTTACCATCTTGCTGATATCTCTTCTGATCTCTCATTTGAAGGGGTGACCTAATGTTTCAGTCATGTTGGGATAGTCCCAGTTTATAATCCTAGTTTATACCTCTTGCCTATGTTAACTGTGATCGGCTGAGTAATGTCCTTCAAAGATGTCCACATCTTAATCCCTGGAACCTATAAATTTGTACCTTACATAGTATAAGGGAAAGTACAGATGTGATTAATTTAGGGTCTTGAGATGGGGAGATTATCCAGGATTAACTAGGTGGGCCCAATGTAATCACAAGAGTACTTATGAAAAGGGGCAGGCAGATCAGAGTTAGTAGAGGGAGATGTGATAATGGAATGTGATAGTAGACGCATGAGGTTGGAGTGATATGAGAAGAAGCCATGAGCCTAGATAAGCAGATAGCTTCTAGAAGCTGAAAAAGGCAAGAGAACAGTTTCTCCCTTTACAGGCTTCAGAAGAAGCTAGTCTTCCAGGCACCTTAACTTTGGCCTAGTGAAACTCGTTTTGGACTTCTGACCTCTAGAACTGTAAGATAATACATTTGTGGTGTTTTAAGTCACTAAATTTGTGTACAGAAATAATAGGTAACTAATACAGTAACTATACTGAGCCCCTTTACACTCTCAAAAATAGCTTGGTTTGGTGATAAATTATATCTCTATTCTATGCATAGGCCACAGCTGCTTATAAACCTATGATTCTGTCCAGAGTCATTTTAGGAAGTAAAATTTAAGTCTGTCTTCTCTGATTATCAGGGATTAGGCCTTGGAGGTCTGAAATTAGATTATGTTTACATATATATGGGGAATTGCCAACTAACCAGATTAAATTCCATGAGGGTTGAGAAGGAGCAAATGGGGAGATGGGATGTTACACTGAATCCTTTACTTCAGCAATATCCTGTGTTCGGATGTCCATGGGATCTTATTTAAAGGCTTAATTTGGCTTAAGTTATGTCTTGTTCTGTTTGCTGGACTTTGACAGACAAATACAATTTATGGTAAAATGTTTTCAGAACCATGTTTTTAGAACAGTTGGAGGTATTTGCCTTTTAGATTCATGTAAACCCTAAGTTCATATGCCCAGCAGCATCTGTCAGTTCATTTTTCAGAAATATATAGAAAGGATATTTTCTTCTAAATAAATATCTCAATTTTATTTACTATTTTAAAATAAATGCAGCAATTCCTAATAATATAATTTCTCAAATCAAAAAGTCTCTTAAAATATTTTGGTCAGGCCGGGCGCTGTGGCTCACGCCTGTAATCCCAGCACTTTGGGAGGCTGAGGCGGGCGGATCACCTGAGGTTGGGAGTTTGAGACTAGCCTGGGCAACATGGAGAAACCTCGTCTCTACTAAAAATACAAAATTGGCTGGACATGGTGGTCCATGCCTGTAATCCCAGCTACTTGGGAGGCTGAGGCAGGAGAATCGCTTGAACCCGGGAGGCGGAGGTTGCAGTGAGCCGAAATAGAGCCATTGCACTCCAGCCTGGGCAACAAGAGTGAAACTCGGTCTCAAAAAAAAAAAGAAAAGAAAAGAAAAAAATTTAGTCAGAAAAAAATCCCTGCAATTTCTATAACTTCAATTTTGCTTAAAGGATTAAGTCCCTATTCATTATTTTTTATTTTTAAAATGGTTTGATTCTTCAAGGATTTCCCACAAATTTCTGAGGCATTCTCTGTAGGAGAATTAATTTAAAATGGCAGCTCATTCATATATATATGTATATATATATACATATATATGTATACATATATATATATATGTATACATATATATATATGTATACATATATATATGTATACATATATATATATATGTATACATATACACCATAATGGTGTCTTGGCCCAGTTTATGACATAATAGAGAAATTCATTTTAGTAGCGACTAAGTAAAGCAGTAAAATAATTCTATCTTTATGACACGATAAAAGCCATTTATTTCTGTCTTATTATGTTTTGAGCTTTTAGATGTGTTCAAATGCCTATGTAAATGAGTAATTAACTTATATACTAGTTTTGGTTTTCAGAAAGATATTAAAAGATTTGTTTTTATATTTTAAGACCTTACAAAATGGGCCCTAGGCAGATGATCATTTGGACTTATAAATGGACTATTTTTATCCCTTCTGTTGACAGAATATTACTTTATAGTGTAATTATTCTATGAAATGAAGCTATGTGGTTATTTGACTTTTTAGAGCACAGTATACGTATATGGTACTGATCTTGCTGTCACTCAGTTTTATTCTGTTCTAAATTTAAAGTATTGTATATTGATTTGAAAAGTTAATAGAAGAATCAAAGAAAGTGAAGTAGAAACAAAATAAAAATTAGATTGTGAAACAATATTTAGGATAAACTAAAGTAGAACTTCAGTAATTCATTAGCAGGCTGTCTAAGTAAATAGTTAAACAAATACATCTTATAAAAAAAAGCTCAAACATGGATTAATGTATTATTATTAGTAAAAACTTCCTTCATAAATATCCAAGTCTTCAGAAATAAGAATATTAGATCAAAGAATCTGTGAAAATAACAATATAAAATAATGGTAGGTGGTGGCTGGAAAAGAACAGGTCAAAAGAGGAAAAAAATGGATTGAAAACAAACGTATGTACACCAGGAATAATAGAGCACATGAAAATAAAATGATGTCAGCTTGAGCAGTACAATCTCTCATACTCAGTAATTAGTAGACTGAAAGTCAATCTCCATCCCTGGCTGAGCAGGAACTCAGTCCCCCATACAGTTAGGACCATCCGCTTAACATTAAGAGTTTGCATTCTTCTCTGTATTAAGTGATTTGCTGGGAGGAACACACTTTCATCAAAAGAAACAAAGAGTAACAAGCAGAAACAACCTAGTTTTTCCTAATCCATATTTTCAGCAGTTTTAGCTTCAGAAAGCTAAAATTTCATGATTGTCGAAAAGGATACTTAACAGATAAGGAGATTCAATGAAATGATTTCTTTGTACATCTGCTTTTTAAAAAAGACAAATGATCTAGTCTGCATATAGAGTTGAATTACTTTGAAATTTCAGATACTTCACATAACTGAGGTCACTTAGTCTCCATTTTTAGATTTTTGTTAAACATCAGACTGGATCTTTTGGGTGGTAGGCATATTTCTAAAGTTTGTGGGCTGTGTTTGTAACATACCAGAGGAAAGAATGTATGACAGTCAGAGCCACTCAATAGCCTAGGCAAAGAAATAAGTGAGGATGATTCAAAGGTCACATAAATATTGCACAAAATGTTCTGTGGGTGTATGTGAAAGAAAGCTGTAAACTGTAAACCCATATGTACTAAGTGTTCTACATTTCATAGGTTTATATGTGTAAACATATATCATTGTAATTAAGAGTAATTACATTTATAACACAATTGGATTTGTAAATGCAAACCTGCATAGATCTCAATAAGTTTCCTTGAACTCTATGTCACAGTTTGCATCAATATTACAGGTAACTGATTATTAGCAGTCATAAAAGTTAAACCTTAATTAACTAGTACTAGAAAATCATCAGTTAACTAGGTATACCCCTAAATATACATGAGAAAATGTATAGGAAGAAAAATATCTGTGGAGATAAGAAATGTAGGCAAGTTTTGAACCACCAAATATCCCTTAATAAATAGCAGAGAATTCCTGTTGTATTAACTTAATATAAACATAGTTGAACCTCTCAGAGCTCATATGAAAACTGGTAGAAATATGAAAACTGCTTCTAAAAAGCAACCTTTTGTATGTAATCAGTAGAGAAAAATCTTTTGTGCCAACAGATACACACACACGCGCGGGTGCACACACACACACACACACACACAATCTACACTGCTACAGGCTACCAGATGGTGAAGGTTTGTGCATCATTTACTGGAGAAGAAACCTGTTAGATCTTATACCCTGAAAGAATCTTATAAAAATGTCTATTCAAATCTCCTTTTTTATAGTTGGAACCTGAGCCCCCAAAGGTAACCTCATATGCTTAGGTCTAGCAAACCACTAAGTGGAAGAAAACGTCATGTCACAGGTAAATAATGGTAGTCATAAAATGTTCCTTTAATGAACATTTATGAACATTATGAACAGGATATCTGACTCTGTCTTGGTGTTCTAGGTTTAAGAGCTTCTACAGAATGGTGTGATGAGAATTAATCTAGAGGTCTAGAGACCTATTTCTGTCCTGGCTTTGATACTTCCTGGCAAGATGCCTCTTATAATATCACTTATAGCTTCCATTTTCACATCTATAAAATAATGATAATAGTACATAACATTCTTCAAGTGAGATAATGTACAATCAAGTTTTATCAGGTATAAAACACATCATCATTATCTGAGTTGATCTCTTAAGATACATTTAGACCAATGTAGATTAGGTTTGATATGATTTTTGGGTTTATCAGAACCACAGGGAAAAAAGCTAATGGGGCTAAATCTGCACAGGTTGATGAATAAATGTACAGAACATATTCTAAATCTTTAATGAAAGCCTTCAGAGGTTTACATGTAAAGGAATAGGCCTACTTTGCATGCTTGTGGGTAAAGTTATTTTTCACAAGCATTACGTGGAATGTATGCATTCTCATTTCCCTCTGTACCTGTAGTTTCTTTCTTTCTTTTTTTGTTTTGCAATAATGATTTTCTCTTTTATGAAATACCACTCTCCCCTTTTCTTAGTCTGTTTGGGCTGATACAATGAACTGCCATAGACTGGATGGTTTATAAATAAGGAAGCTTATTGCTCACAGTTCAGGAGGTTGGGAAGTTCAAGATCAAGGCACCAGCATATCCATTGTGTGGTGAGGGCCCACTCTGGCTCATAGACAGTGTCTTTTCACTGTGTTTTCACATGGTGGAAGCAGGAAAGACAGTTCTCTGGGCCTGTTTTATAAGGGCAGTAATCCCATTCCTAATCACTGCCAAAGGCTCCTAATAGCATCACATTTGTGCTTAGTTTTCAACACGTGAATCTGTGCAGAAACGCAAACATTCAGACCATGGCTCCCCCTACTACTTGACAGTTACTTACTATCCCTGGTCTTGCCCCCGTCCTACTGCAGTGCTATTCCTGGCTCACTATCATCGTGTGCTTCCTTTCTTCATAACTGAGATTTCCTGATCCTTAACTGTAGGTTCAGCACCACCCTAGGCTCTGAAATCAACCAATCAATCCGCTTCTTAGAACTTGATTAAGGATCTATTCAATCTTGCTGTCTTTGTGTCTGAGTTTTGGCAACCAGACTCTGCCTTGTTTGAGACCAAGCTGCTGGCCTATGCCCATGTTCTAGTCTCTGAGAAGCTGGATCTGCAGCAGTGGAAGCTGGTTTCTCCTCATAAGAATATTCTCAAAAACTTATAAATTGTCAACATTTTTTAAAAGGTGATTATTGCTAAGATGGAAATACATGGAGGAAATAGTGGGAAACCAAAATATTGAGGAACTTAGGGGAGAGTAAAATGGTAGCTCTTTTTTACACACTTATATTCCTACCAAACTTCAGCCCAGAACTTTCCCGTGTGCACCATGTTGGAACCTAGCTCTGAACCTCAGTTCCACAACTGTGTTGCTTCTGGATGTCTTTGATGTCAATTGCTTACCCGCTGTGATCTCTAAGTGACGCCTGCTCTCAACTTAGATTCAATGGTTGACATGTCCTGATGACAGCTTGCTGGATTTCTCTGACACCTATAGCTCATCTAAAGTACCACTCATTATTCATCAGTATATTGGAAAGGCATGCTGTTTTATCATCTTAAATATCCTTCCTTGCATTGTTATCTGCCTGGTCTTCATTTAAATTCTTCTACTCTCAAAGGGTCATCCAACCCCAAAACTACTGTCTTTGAAAGGCAATGGTGGTAGTAGTCTAGGTGGTTAGAAGGTGTGATGAACATAACTGGATTGAAAGCCTTTAAAAAAATGATTTAGATAGTTGTCTGGGAATCCGCCCTGAGAGAAGACACAAAAGCTATCAGGCTAACAAAATCATAAAGCACCATCTTAGTTCTTTACCTGTATGTCTCAATGAATACTTTCGCTAAATTCAGGGCTCCATCCCACATTTATCTCTCTTCAACATTTATGAATTAGTTAACGAACATTTTGTTATAAGTAATACTAAATAATACTAGTGTCTTAGTTTGGGTTCCCTGGAAAACAGACTCTGAGATGGAGATTTATATTTGGGAAGTTTATGGTGGCGTGCTTTCCTGAACAACCCCTATGAGGTAGTGAGGAAAGCAATGTTCATGCAACAAAGACAGCTCATATCACAGGGGCTATGGAGCCGGGATAGTCCTTTAGAGTTGTTCCAAACTGAGGCAAAGGGGTCTGGTTTTTATACCTACGCATTGATTAGTCATTGGATAGGGGCTTCTCCCAGCAAGGTGTAAAAACTTGACCAAGTCATCTCCCTTTCCCTGGTGGCAATTGGCAGAGAGACCTGAGCTGTGACTAGTCTGCAACCAGTCTCCTTTGAAGCTGGCAAAATGTATGCCTGGGTCATAAAGGGTGGATCTGGATGGCTCCCCACAGGACGTACATACTGCCACACATACATATGCATACATAATATACACAGCCATACATATACATATGCACATTCATGCATACTGCAGACATAATTATACATATTCATACATACTTCACACATACATATACATACATAATATATACAAGCATCAATATACATATATTGCATATTTCCTTATACTGCACAAATATAGCTATTTGATGTTTTCCTCCATACTTTACTTCACCCAGCAATGACCTTTATCTTTTAATTTAAATATAGAATTCCTTAAGAGAGAAGTTCGTCCTGTTTCAACAAGAAATCCTTCTGGAAATTCGAAGTTCAAATCAGGCTACTTTATACTCAGCATCAGAAAGTCATTTTAGAGTCTTAAAAATAGCATTCTCCCTACCTCCACATTCTTACCACTACCCCACAGTTTCACCAGAAAGCTTTTATAATAAATTATTTGAAATGTTTGAAATGTTTCTACAGTCATTTTTTTTTTCACAGAGAGAACAACACCTTCATGTACAAAAATCTATATCTCAGCTAATGGCTAAGGATTACACTGACTAAGGTATAATGAGGTCACAATATTAGGTTAATATTAAAGATATTTCTCTTTAGCCTTTTGGGCTAAAGTGTCAGAGTGGTTATTCCTCTGTGTTAAAAAATCCTATATTCTGTTTTCATTTATAATAAGAAATTTCATTAAAGTAGCACCCTGACCATAATCTCTAACCTTGGACTCAATGATCTCGTCCATTTTTACTCCCCTCTGACATTGTCAGAAAACCTATTTTTTTAAAAAAAAGGTTTGATGATGCCACACTAATACTAATTCCCATTTTTTAACTGTAATGAATTTTTTACTGAATTAGTTGGATGAATTGATTCCCTATCTTGTTATGAAAATACATGAAAATAATAGGTCTTATGACAAATTATATATTCCTACAGCCACTGAAATGAACATTTTGAGAGTAAACTATATTATGTAGTAAGATTGTTTGAGCAAATTACAATGTGAATCAAATTGGCTATTGAGAGTTGAAGTTTTGTCTCTGTCAGAGTAGAGGACAGATTCTGTAATAATATCTTTCCAAGGTTTCCAAGATACTCTAGACCAAAAACCTCTCTTTAGACTTATGGTGAACTCATTGTCATCACTTGCATTATCATCATTATCAATGACTTAATTATTATCTTTGGCATTAAAGATGGGCCTTAAGGAAAATGATAAGGCAAAAAGTTAAGTAGCAAACTGAAACTTTTGAAAAGTGTAAAATAGTAGTCAATATTTAACATTTATTGAGTGTTTAGTATGTGGCAGGCAGTGTCCTAAAAGCTTTAGTGCATAATGCCAAGATTATTTTTGAAATTTTCAGATGAGAAAATTGAGGCACAGAGAGGATATATCTTAGGCCCAAAGTTATCTAGCTAGTGACGTTGTGATGTTAGTCCATGAGACCTGGCTCCAGAGTCAATGTTCCTACCGTTACACCACATTTGCTTCTAATTAAGAGGACTATACTCAGAAGATTATATTTGCCTCCCATTTCTGTATTTTAGAATATTTTCTCTGGGATATAGATGATTATTTCTAATATTTGTTTTGAAATACAAAGCAATGCTATGTAAAAAAGTATCACTGACCAAAAACCTATGATTAAAGTAGGAAAGCAAGGTTTCAAAAATACATAGATGGTGATATGTAAGAAGAACTTGAATCATTCCCTAATCTCTCTTTATAAGGAGTCTAGAACCTTGGGGTGTGGTGAAGGATGAGGTCAGAGTTGGACATATCATTGTTAGGTGCCACTTTTACCCTTTTCAATGGTGGGCCTATGGCCTGGTCAGTTATTCCACCTGAACCTGAGGATGGGAAAAAGGTTCAATGGACTAATCAACAGCCACATTTGTTTGAACCAACGATATGAAACTGGTCAATACTGGCTGATAAAACATTTCCATCTATGACCTGACTCTTGATTATCATAATACAAATCTGAATTCTAAATGGTACCATGAAGCTCAGAAAGAGTCAATGTCCAGTCCAAAATAACAAATTTATTTTGGGTGTAGAGGGGTGACTTAGGCCCTGGAAAAATCTACCTCAGTAAGAATTTAATACTTACTACCCCTATCTATTTCTCTTAACTTCTCCTTCAGAAGGAAAGTAAGGTCCTAGTCTACACCACTGTCTATTGGCCTTTGTCACTTTATCCCATTAGGCAAATAGTATTCTTATTGCACTATATCCAAGTCATCTTTTTAACACTATCCAGCTTTTTTTCGTGTCAGTGTAATATTTTATATAGTAAATTATGTTTTTCTACTGATAGAACATTTTTCTTCCCTTTCATCTCCTTTGACATCCCCTCCCACTTCCTAATTCAAGCAACTAGGTTCTTTGGGCTCATTGCCTCAGGGGAAGGACATGACAAGGTGGAAAGAGAAACCAAAAATATCTTCCTGGTTTTGGTCTAAAAAACCCTACGGTTCCTTGGGGAAACATCACAGGTGAGAGCAGTGCTTTCTTCCCGTGACTGCTCAAAGGAAAAACATCTTCCTAAATCTATATTGGAGAGGCAGAGAGACTGAAGAAATGGGCAGAGAAGTTACAGGGATGAGAAGAAAATGGCTGGACCAGAAAGGGCCAATCCAGCCAGCAATGAGGACTGTCTCAGAGGAGGACCACTGTGAGAGGCATTGTCAAGCGTCCAAGGGCTTCTGGAGAGTGAGGTCAGTGTCCTCGCACCCAGGGACTCTGCTAGTTGCCTTTCCCATTGGAGCCCAGTGAGGACTTCCCTTGGCCATGCTACGACTTTGCCTGGTGACTGTCCAGCAGGAGTGTTATTGCGCATCCCTGTGCAAGCCTTTGCTGAAACCCAGCTTCTGTCCAACTCACTGTGTGAAGAAGTCCCTCCTTCCCCCAGTTTTCACCACCCACAGAAGAGTGGATCTTGAAAACTTAGATCAGGTTAGCAGATGAAAAGTCTGAATGAAACTGGCTCCAGGTCCTTGGTCCCCAACACCCCACAAGGGGGAATAATATAAAGCATATACTTATGTTAGCTTTTTAAAATTAAAAAAAAATCAAGTAATAAAATAAATAATAAATAAAAAGTAGATGCCTTACTTTATAATTCTATGACATTGATTCTCCTTTTTTTCTCTATCTCTTCACTTCCATGGACATTTATTTTCAATCTTTGCTCCTTTTTCTCTGTGCATTCTTTAAATGTTGATGTAACCAGGTCTCCTTTTCATTCCTCTTCTCTTTTTAATTTAGACACTTTTTGGGGGGAGTGAGCTCATCCACTCTCATGACTTTGACTATCATTAATATTGCAAAGATTCTCAAATCTGTTTTACTAGCCTCAATCCCTGTCTAAACTCCAGACCCACATATCAAAGTGCCCAATGAACATCTCCTCTTTGATGTACCACAGACATTTCACACTCAGAAGAATACCTACAGTTGAACTCATCATATTTCTCCACTCCCAACTTACTCCTCTTGTGTCTTGAAGAGTGAGACTAATCATCCCTTTCCATGCTTTGGCTTGGACAATAGAGATGTAGGGTGTCAGAGAAATGGAGGAAGCACCCTCTACTTGGGGCTTTTTGCCTTTCTCTAGAATGTGGAACTCAGGAAGAAGATGCCTCACAGGCCACTCCACACCAAATTGGGAGTGACTGCATCAAAACATATTCAAAAGCTCTGCAAGGTTGGCTGAAGAAATTCCACAACTGAAATTTCCCAAGCCACTGTCTATTCCTCAGTTATGGCTAGGACGTAGGTATTTTCTCATATCCTTGATGGGGAACCTAGAATTCCCCGAGAGGCTGGCTGGAGGGCTTGCCAGTGTGTAGTGGGGGTGTTGCTGTGGAGGAGGGGGTAAAGTAGCTTGAGACAAGGGCTGCAGGGTTGACAACTTAAGCTGTGCCCCTATAAGGTTTAGAGCCAGCCCTGTGTGTGCCTACACGTGGGTGTGTGAAATATTACACTAGAGAGGGCAGAGATGGGGCTGAATATCTCCTCCTAAGGAGAAGCAGAGGACCCAATAAGGATTAGAGGAAATTTCAGCCCCTGCTGTCTGGAGATTACATGAGCCACATACCTCCCCATACTCTATATTCAAAATGTCATTTTAGGGACAAGAAAGGGGTACAACAGAAATCTGAAAGACATAAAACTGAGTCATCTGAAGGAGATTTTTAAGCCAGTTGGATAGGGAAACAAAATGTTGGAAGATTGAATGTTTAAAATGAGTGAAGATAATTTAACCAGAAAATCAAAATATTATAAAATTACAAGTTTAAATTGCTGCCATTACTTAGCAGGATGGTAGTTCCAGAGAAAGATTAGGCATGTTTTAGGGATTAAAGAAACCACATATTATTTGCATATCTGAGTATCCCTTGGGTATGGTAGTAAGTTTGCTTGTTTGCTTCAATAAACTCACCCCTTATATCAAAACAAAAGACTTCTGCTTTCTTTTTCTTGTTTTCCACTCCCATCTCTCATCCAAAATAATCTTCCTGCTCAGTCTTGTGGTATCTCCTGGTCTGAAGGGAAAGAGGGGAAGTTTTTTTTTTGTTGTATGCAAGGGGCCCACGTTGGACTTTGTTCCAGACCCCAATTTGCCTGAGGTGGTTTTTTTCCCCCCTCTTTGCGTTTTACCATTTCTGAAGACAGGAAAACTCTTACAGTCAGAGTTTCCAAGGAGAGGAGAGTGTTGTGGAGTTGTGGTAGTTGTTATTTGTTGAGTATATGTGAACTAAGCTGTGTATCAGAGTATCTCTTCATTCTATTATCACTTCTAGTTGAGCTTTGTGCATTGATAACAAGTTGTTGAATTTAAATTTAATTTGGATCCCCAATTTTTTGCTTAGAATTTTTGCAAAAAGATATCTTTATGATGTAGCACTGAAATGGAAATAAATTCTATCTATACATAGATGATTGCCTGTCATATACCAGGTAATGGCATTTAAGGGTGTTGAACTTGCCAAGTCTTTTACGTCAGATCACAGACTTTTCAAAGCAGGAAGAAGTTAGTGTGGTTAATTTGCATTCATATAGGCCCTTTATTCAGTTACGGAATATCAAAATGTTAAAGTTGCCAGCTAACTTGTGTTTTGTTTGTTTGTTTGTTTGTTTGTTTGAGACAGAGTCTCACTCTTGCCCAGGCTGGAGTGCAGTGGCATGATCTTGGCTCATTGCAATTTCTCCTCCCAGGCTCAAGCAATTATCATGTCTCAGCATCCTGAGTAGCTGGGATTACAGGCATGCGCTACCACACCCACTAATTTTTGTATTTTTAGTAGAGACGGGGTTTCACCATGTTGGCCAGGCTGGTCTGGAACTCCTGACCTCATGTGATCTGCCTGCCTCGGCCTCCCAAAGTGCTGGGATTACAGGTGTGAGCCACCATGCCTGGCCATCCAGCTAACTTTTAAGAGAAGCTCTTTGACCTATAGTAATAGGTAATCATGCAAAAAAACAAACAAACAAAAAACCTCTGAGTTTAACCAAATAGGAAATGCAGAGGAAGAAATTCTAATATAATTTGATAAGGTTTGAAATGTACTGTCAATCTTAAAAGAAGTCAAGACCACAGGCACTGGTGAGAAGCTAAATATAACTGCCAAATGACTGAAAGTGATTTAGAAGGATCTCTATACTCTTTCTATTTATCAAGAAGGTTTGGATGCAAATTCTGATTTAGGTATTGAAAAGAAAGAGTTTAGATGGATAAATGAATGATATTTTTAATTAGTTTTAAAATAAATGTGGCATTTAGGGTAGTGCTTCTATTTTTCCCTTGAAAGCTCTTATAAAATGGGTGGTGTGTCTTATAACCAATGACCTCTTAGACTCCAGAAAATGTGGAAGTTACATCTTGTTTCTGCTTTCCAAATGACCTCTCCACACTCCCTACCTCTCATCATATAATCCAGCTACACTGAACAATTTTTACCTTTGTAAATATACTATGCCTTCTCAACTTTTTGTACCTAATACACATCTTCTGCTTAGACTGCTTTTTCCTTTTTCTCATCCTCAAATGCAATTTTCCTGGCTCACTCCTACTCACACTTCAAGACTCAGCTCAGACATCACTTCTTTAAAAAATCCTCCTTGACTGTGCACCACCTCCATATTGCATCCTGTGCTTATCTCTGGCACTGCACTTATAGTGCAATCTTATATTTTCACTTGCATCAATTTAACAACACACAAACAAAAGCAAACATATTTTTCATGCAGCATGGCCCCTAAATGAAAGCCAAATTCTTCATCTGGTGCTTAACTGAAGAAACTGTGATCCATTTCCATACTGGGGGTGTGTGATCGCACTGTGTGTGGTTGATTTGCTGAGCTATTACAGTTTGTTGTATACAGTTGCAAGGCTCAGTTTGGAAAAAAAAAAAAGAAAAAAACAGAACTCATTCTATCTATTTTAAGTAGGACGGATTATAATACAAAGAATCAGGCCTATATATATTCATCAGACTGCTAGAAGTTTAAGGCTGAATGTGTCAGGATAAGTTCCAGAGATAGCAGTGCTGCTGCCTCTGTCAAAGCAGGGAGGCAGACTTAAGAGTTCACTACTGACCTGTTTGGTTTTGAGTTCAAAAGCACAGTGTCATAGCTGTCATTCAGGGATCAGGAAACCACTACTATCCCCACTGTACCTACCTCTGGATGCCCACAGAGCTGAAGACCAGACATTGGGACACAATTGGAGAAAACCCAGAGTTTCCAGGACTGTGCCTCTGAGCAGCAAGCAGCAGGAAGATAGACTCTTCCTCACTTGTAGATTCAACCTTATGCAACAGAAACCTGGCAGCAAGGGATTCTGGGCAAGGTAGTTTTACCAGTCCAACTGGTGCAGGTCAGGAAGGCACTCTAGGAAGATGAATTGGATGCTGAATAACAATTTACTATATCTACCATAACCAGGTGTACTATGAATTTCGGGCAAGGTTAGGACCTTTATTGGTTAATTTTGATTCCTCATTAAAACCTACACCTCACATAACTGCAAATCCACAATACATTCTAAGACAGTGGGCTTTTTGTCTCTTTATAGACTTTCAGCTCCTAACACAAACTGTGCTGTACTCGTATTTGAAACATCGTGCCTAGTACTGTGTCTGGTCAAATGAATGAATGAATAAATATATGAGTCAAGAAATCAGTAAATGGTTGAAAACCTGTGTCCTTTTGCACTTTTGAATTGACAAATTCATTTGACTTTTTCCAATTCAATGGCTCTCGACCAGGGGCAATTTTGCCCACCTGCCCTCCCACCCCCACCCTGGTACATTTGGCAATGTATGGGAGGCACTTTTGAGTGTTACTATTTGGGGATTGGCGGGTGGGTTTACTGTTGGCACCTACTGGGCAGAGACTTGGGATGCTGTTAAATATCCTACATTGCACAGGATTGCCTCCTGTAACAAAAAATTATCCAGCACAAAATGTCAGGAGTGCTGCAGTTAAGAAATCTGCTCTAATTACTACTTCCTCTTACTTTTGTCTGCCATAATATTCTTATGCCAATAGATCAGAACCCTTGAGAATTTGGGCTTTCTCAGAATTCAAGTCTTCATTAGTCTTTTTTCTCTTTGGAGGGTTTTTCTCCCATAGTCTCTGATTATATGTTAATCATTCTATTCCCACATATATTCATAATGGACCTCAGGGACACAGAGTGGCCTTTAGGTCCTTGTATTAAAACATTACTAGAGAAAATTTTTGGAGTGTCACTCTTCAACTTCTTTTCTTACTTAATCTCACAGCTCTAGATTTAGTAGTAACATTTCGTTCAATTTAGAAAATGCCTCAAGAAAGTGAGAGATGTTGTTCTATATTTTAAACCTTGATAGGCACCAATTGTACTGAATTAGTTGATTTTTGACTTTTTATATTTTATCTTTTTTTTTCTTTTTTTAAATACATGACAATTGACTGGCTAGTAGTCTTCAAGAAAAATGAAATTCTGTTCCTAAAATGGACTTCTTAGAAAAATCCAGAACTTCTTTTAGATTTTAGAAATTTATTCCTTTTCATAATCAAATACTTCTAAAGTATAAATATGTCATAATCGAATAATGATCACAATTAAAACTTAAGTAGTCATAGTTAAATCAAGTATGTTTGTGAACAGAACAGAAAGTCAATATAAATCTTAAAGATGGAAGTGTGTAAAATTCAGTTTACACATCCAACAAATCTTATTGAGCTTCACTGTTCCTCTCTGATAACCATTGAGAATACCTTAGTGAGAAAATTATTCCCAGTCTCTACCCTCATGGAGCTTACATTATTTAGTTAGAGTCTTCCTACTGGAGAATCACACAAGTAGTATTTAATTACTAAGGTGACAAGTTCTATAATTGAAAAATCACAAGGTGGCATGAAAATAAATAGGGAACCTAACATATTTTTAATCTAATCAGGAGAAATTTTTTTTTAAAGAAAGTAGTAATTAAACTCATACCTGAAAGATGAGTAAGAGTTAGCTGTGCACAGTGTGGAGCAAACAGCATTCCTGGCAGAGGCACATGTAATGGCTGGAGGCAAGAAAGAGCTTGTTTTTCTCAGGAAATACAAAGGATTTTGGATTTAATACTCAGTACTGAGGAGCCACTACATGGTTTTAGCAGAGGCGTGATTTGATTAGATTTACATTTTAAACAATTACTCTCACTGCCATGTGAAAAATGGGATTGAGGCAAGGAAAAGTGGGTTAGAGATAACTAGCCAGAAAGTAACTGGAGTAGTCTGGTTGAGACAAGATGGTGACGTTAACTGGAAAACAGATAGATTTAGAAGGTGGGGTAAACTAGGTTTGGTGGCTGATTTTTTGGGGGTAGATAATGAAGGGAGATATCGGTTATGGTTGGATCACAGGCTTCTGGCTGGAGCATCTGGGAGGATGTGGGTACCACTTATTATGTTAGGGAGCTCTAGAGGAGAAGCAGTTTTAGGGCAAGATGGTTAAATATAATACATTTATTTTGGGGCATGCTGTATTTGAAATTCTTCTAACACATCCAAGTATCCAAAATGGAAATACTATAAACATTTGGACCTATAAGTCTCTCACTCAGAAGAGTAGTCTAGGCTGGAGATATAATTTTGAAAACCACTGACTTTAGATGACATTTGAAGATATGAGAGTAGATAAGATCACCTTATCTCATAAGATATGAGAGGTGATGTTTGAAAATATGAGAGAGAAGAAGGTCCGAGGCTGAGTCATGATAAAAGGTCTACGTGAAAAGTTGGGGTCGAGGAGAAGTCTCTGAAGAGGACTAACAATAAATCAGAGGGAAAACAACAGAAGTAAACAGACGTGGAAAGATAGAAAGCAAGGAAAGAGAATATTCTAGAAGGAAGGAGTGGAAATCTGTTACAAATGATGCTGAGAGGTTAAATAGGAAAGACATGAATATTTTCATTGACTTAGCAACATGCACATCATTGGCGACTTAATGCTAGAATCTGAGAGGAAAGAACAGAAGCCAGTTTGGAGTGGGCTGAGAAGTCAGTAGTAGAAGGAAGTAGAAATTGAAGCTATAGCTATGTATTTTGTAACTGGGAGAGCAGATAAAATTTTAGTTGGAGATCTGTAGTTCGGTAAAATTTGTGTATACATGTTTTAAGACAGGAGAGACAATAGTATGTATAGATGATAATGAAAAGTGTCTAGTAGAGAAAGAGAGGTTGAAGTTATGTAGGGGAAAATGGGTATTGTCTAGAGGAGAAAGTTTCTGAGAAAGTGGGAGGAGATGGGATTAATAGCACATATCAAGAGATTCTCCTATGATAGAAAACACTTTTATTTGGTAACAGAAGGAAATAAAGAGTTAATAACTGTGAAGTTTAGAATATTCATTTAAGGCCTGGTGGTGGCTCATGCCTGTAATTCCAGCACTTTGGGAGACCGAGGTGGGTCGATCACTCGAGCTCAGGAGTTTGAGACCAGCCTGGTCAACATGGTGAAACCCTGTCTCTACTAAAAATACAAAATTTAGCTGGGTGTGGTGGTACATGCCTGTAATCCCAGCTACTCAGGAGGCTGAGGCAGGAGAATCACTTGAACCCAGGAGGTGGAGGTGGCAGTGAGCTGAGATTGCACCACTGCACTCCAGCTTAGGGGATAGAGACTCCATCTCAAAAAATATATTTATATATATGTATTTATGAATATATTTATACATATTATGAATATATTTTATATATATTCATATATAATGAATATATTATATATATGATATATATTCATATATATAATGAATATATTATATATATGAATATATATTCATATAAATGTGATTCTCCTCTAGAATGAATGATCTTAGTGATCTGAGATTGTTTGCACACGTGCTTCCAGAGCTTGAAACTAATGTCCATATTCTTGGGAGTTAAAATGTAGGCGGGTATTTGTGGATGCCTTCCACAAATACTAACCAAGTATTCAGTAGATAAGTTGCCATAATCCTATTTGAAGTGGGTTGGCATATATGTTACGGCATTGGCCTGGGGATTGGGAGAGCCAAAGTGGCCATGTATGTAGTACTGGTGTAGTATTTACACACACTGCTGCTCTCACACTGCTGCACTCACTTTTCACACCCAGTTTCACAAGGCAATTTGGCTTAGGACTCAAAGCAAACAACCAAAATAAAAGTTGATAGGCACCAAATAACCATAAGAATCCTGAAGTGCTTGTAGACTTCAACAGGACTAAATAAGACTGTGAGGTCAGTTTCTCACCCATGTTCTGGGCAGCACAAAAATAGAATGATTCACTAAAGCCCTAAGATGCAGAGGCAGTTTTGGCTCTGATCATGGCAATGGCAATATGTTGGTAAGACTTGCTTTTGGCTGCAAGAAACAAAAAACCCAACTACATTGGGTTTTATGATAGGAGTTAAATAACAGAGGTTTTTTTCTCACATCGTAGTAAGTCCTGAAGTACAGGTTGCTGATGTTGTTTCAGTGGCTCAATGATGTCAAGGTGAGCATCTTTGTGCTTCTCTTGTCTCCTCATGCTCACAATGTAAGTGCTGAAATTGTAGCTCTTACTTTTGCTTTTGAGGCAGGAAGAAGAAACTTGGAAGTGCTTACCAGTTGCAGGTGTCCCTTTTTATCAAAGAGGCAAGCTTCCCCTGAATTCCCTCCAGTGAATCTCTGCTTACATCTGGGCTGGGGGGTAAAAGGAAGCTAAGAGAGTATATATCTGACTCTATAGCCCCTGTGGTTGGAGGCATCATGATAGAGGAGGGTTGGAAATAGCTTTGAGTAGCCCAAGCAACAGTGTCATTTAACAATAGGGAGCCACAGGATACCCAGGGGGAGACAGTAGTTCTCAAGGAGAGAAAAGCATTGAACCACTTGGTAGTGGTGATGGCAAGCCATGACCAGGGCCCAGGCAGAGGAGGCAAGAGTCACCCCATAAAAATAGCTCTAAAGAGGTTGAAGACATCAGGTGGCATCTGCAAAAGCAAAAAGAAGAATTCGCAGGGAGACAAAAGCTCTGCGGGCTTCTACCCCATTCTCTAGGAAGCTCGGGATAGTTAATCATATCTATGTTACTTACCAACCTATTACCAAGAACTTAGCGTGGTGCCTGGTATATAGTAGATTCTCAATTATTGTTACATTAATTAATGAATAAATGAATCATCTAAGAAAATGGTGAGAATGGAAACAATCAATGGGTGAAGATGTCTCCCATTCCTATGGAAGAGAGAAAATACTTGCAAACCGAACATCTGACAAAGGGTAATTTCCAAAATATGTGAGGAACTCAACTCAATAGCAAGAAAACAGATAACCTGAATAAAAAAAAAATTGGCAAAGGACCTGAATAGGCATTTCACAAAAGAAGACATGCAGATAGCAAACAGGTGTATGAAAAACTGTTCAACATTGCTAACCACCTGGGAAATGCAAAATTAAATGAGATATCACCTTATATCTGTTAAAATGGCTATCGTCAAAAAGACAAAAGATAATTGTTGGCAAGGATGGGGAGAAAAGAGAAGCTTATGGGTGGGAAGATAAATTAGGGCAGGCATTATGGAAAATAGCATGTAAGTTCTTCAAAAAATAAAAAACAAAACTACCATGAGAACATGTGATTCAAAATAATTTAGAGTAAATTTCAAATGTCTCACCACAAAAAAATGATAAGCAGGCGAGGTGGTGGATATGTCAATTAGCTTAATTTAATATTCTACGTTGTATACTGTGATGGCTAATGTTAGGTGTCGACTTGATTGAATTGAGGGATGCCTGGATGTCTGGTAAAGTATTGTTTCTGAGTGTGTCTGTGAGGGTGTTGCCAGAGGAGACTGACATTTGAGTTGGTGAACAAGGAGATGAAGACCAATATTCAGTGTGGGTGGGCACCCACAAAGTAGGCAGGAGAAGGTGGGATAAGTTTGTTTGCTGAGTCTTCTGGCTCTCTTTCTTCTTCCTGTGCTGGATGCTTGCTTCTGCTCCTCCCACCCTTGGACCTCAGACTCCAGGTTCTTCAGCCTTTGGACTCTGGGACTTGCACCAGTGGTTTCCTTGGGGCTCACAGGCCTTGGGCTGCAGACTGCAGCCTGCACTCTCGGCTTCCCCAGTTTTGAGGCTTTTAGACTTGGACTGAGCCACTACCAGTTTTTCTCTCTTTCCCCAGCTTGCACACGGCCTGTCAAGGGACTTCACTTTGTAACCGTGTGAGCAAATTCTAATTAACTCCCTTTTATATATGCATATGTTCTATTGGTTCTGTCCCTCTGGAGAACCCTGACACATCTACATATATCAAAACACCATATTGTACCCCATGTGTATATAATTATGATTTGTCCATTAAAATAATTTTATTTATTTATTTATTTATTTATTTATTTATTTTGAGATGGAGCCTCACTCTGTTGCCCAGGCTGGAATGCAATGGAGCAATCTGGGCTCACTGCAACCTCCACCTCCCAGGATCAAGCAATTCTCCTGCCTCAGCCTCCTGAGTAGCTGGGATTACAGGTGTGTGCCACCATGCCTGGCTAATTTTTTGTATTTTTAATAGAGATGGGGTTTCACCGTGTTGGCCAAGCTGGTCTCGAATTCCTGAATTCAAGTCATCCACCTGCCTCGGCCTCCCAAAGTGCTGGGGTTACAGCCGTGAGCCACTGTGCCTGGCCAAAATAATATTAATTTTTAACAAAGAACATGGGGAGATAAATCCAAGATGATAGTAGTGGGAAACTATTGCTTCCTTGCTTAATTTGGGATTTATTTCATGGAGTTGGGGCTGATTTGGCAGATTAAAATGGTTAATTTTCAGACGGGAAGGAGGACGTATCCTCTTCATGTTATTTCCCAATATATGTCCTGGAAATAAGCCTGTTTAAAAGAAACACATAGAATTGAGGAGTTTGGGAAGGAGATGTGTTTCAGGGCTTTGCCAACTGGGACCCCCACCCACTGCAGGGACTTCAGAACAAGCTGAGGCAGGGGGATCTGGAGCAGCCCTGCTCATCATGTCCCTGCATGTCTTTCCTGTCCTTCAAAATATTCTGCACTTGCAGTTAATAAGGGACCAGAATGCTTGGCTGGGGAAATTTCACTCCTGATTAAAAATACCATTTGTCTGTAAGATGAGTTTGTTTTAATAAAGTGAAAGAGAAATGAATTTGAGACTACCTAGTTCTTCGCCTCATTTAGATGAGTCAGAGTGAATTGAATCTTTACAATTTTTTCAGTCTTCTTTAGACTGTGTAGTCATGTAGTATTCTCAAAGTTATAAATACGTAAAATTGATTTCGTAATTGTGGAAGTTCAAAACCTAGGAAGTTTTTGTTTTAAACCAAGAGATAAGGGGAGCTAGGGAAGCAGTCTCATCTCAGATCCAGTAATTTCCAAAAATCTGAAATTTTTGTCTAATGATTTGTTTATGCTATTCTTGACTTTCTTACATTTCATTGTTGCAGGTGACAGACTCAGTGTTCCTTCAAAACATGCTTATTCTAAAACCCATTTTCAGTGAACTGAAAAACAACCAAAAATATCCCCTATCTCTTATTACAAATTAAAACAAATTAATTTGCTTGAAACTACAAAGGGACCAGAATATAAGAGCAAATAAAGATAAGAAAATTGGATTAAAATCCTTTTGCATGTATTTTCTCAGGATGGAGATTTTTTTTTTTTTTTTTGCAATTGAGAAGCTACAGGAAAAATAATAAGTAAAAGCAGCTATAGCTAAAGTTACTTCCCTAGCTAAATTATAACTTGTTCTATTCACTTGCTTTTGAAATTCAGACCAAGGAACATTCCATTGTCTTTATTACACAAAATAAGTTCTACAATAAAATTTTATTCTGTATTACCATCGGTTCTACGGAAAAAAAGTAAGAATGAGTCAGAATGGAGATACAGTCTAGGATCAGATGGGTACATTGAAGCAGCCATACCAAGAGGACAGTCAGAAGGCGAAGCATGATTGCCGGCCTGAGTTGGACACAGAAATCAGGACCTAGGGAGGGGGATTTGGGAAATGGATGTAGCTGTAAGAAACCACGAGAGGAAGTTGGAGCAGGAAGCAGGGATAACAGGAAGTAGAATCAGGAAGAATAGGAAAGGTAAACACTGAAACTGAGTGGGGGAAAGTGACCTTGGCTGGCAAGTGACTATATGTGTGAACCCATGGGCTGCTGCACCATCCTGAGAAAAACTGAGGTGGAAGGAGGAAGAAGGGAGAAACAGAGACAGAGAGAGAAAGAGGGAGAAGTCCACTGGTGGAAATAGTAACACTTTATCAAAAACCCAGGAAAAGAGATAGGAAAAGAGAAATAATCCTGTTTCTTTTAAAGAAGATGGCAAGAAGGAAGAGAAGACAGGCTTAGAGTGCTTCTCTAGGTTTTAGGTTTTACATTAAGTGTATTAATACATGTTTCCTGTCAAACTCTGCTCTTCCCTTGAATGACAGGCTTCACAGTAAGTTATCCTTGTCCTTTAAGACTCTTATAAACTATATAATTCACAGCTCTTCAACTTTCTAAAAGTACATTAACATTTACAGGGACCATCTGAGTCTTCTATTACAAGTATGTGTGTGTGGGTGCTTATTATCACTATTGTTTTTTTTCATCTGTAGCTATAGTAACTAGAACAATAGCACTGACAATAGGTTAAAAAAATTGATCAAAGATTATAAATCTCTGGGATGTGTGTGTATAATACACACACATTTGATACCACATATACATATATGTATGCATATAGCTAAATCTACATAAGTGTGTACATACATACATTGCCATATAATATTCACACCTCATCCCTGATCAAATGATCAATAATAGAAGACCAGCCTGACAAATTATGGGGTGAGAAAAGTCAAAGTCTCAAAGGTAATGGAACATGCACTGTATGATCTGGGGAAAGGGGTTTGGTTGAATTGCAGTAATAGCAGATTTCTTATCCTCAATCAATGCACTTTGATACTTTATGAAACATCAGGGAGACTGCACAGAGGGAGAGAAGCACAGCTAAATTTGTCTTTGACTGCTAGGCCACTGCATTTCCCTGGTTATTTTCACTGATTATTACTTAAGTTGTCAGAATCCAAGGATTCAGTATGTTCTAAAAATCACAACACCCACCATCTGTAGCCCTGGAATCTGGTTCACACTCCTATAAGCTGGGTAACTTTAGGCAAGTCACTTCTGCCTCTGGATCTCAGGTTCCTCCTCAGTAGGTTGGACCAGTTTTCTGACCTCAGTCTTTTTTCTGCCTCAACATACTGGACAGCAGCTGCCCAGCCTGTTCAGTAGTAGTAGTAATAGTAGTAGTAGTGGTAGAGTTATATGGAACATTAATTGAGTACCTACTATGTGCCAGATGATGAGCTAAGTGTTTTTCCTCATTTGTTTTTCTGAAGCACATAATTTTACTTTATATTCTATTATCTCTAATTCAGAGATAAGAAAATCAACTCAGAGGATTTAAGAAATTCAGCAAGGTCACACATCTAGTGAGTAACAGCCCTCATGAATTCTGGCCTATCCAATATCTAGGTGCTTCTTCTTAGTCCCTACATTATGCTGGTCCTATTGTCATGATTCTTAAATGGGGTACAGACAACGTCATGTCCCCCAACCCATAGGTGTATCATGGTATTGGGAGGGATTACTTTGCAAATGTCTGCTGGGAGATTTTTAAAAGACCCTTGGGGGTACCCCCACTTGAATATCACTGAACTAAGTAATCTTTAAGCTTATTTTCATAGTTAAATTTTTATGAATTGGGATCCTGCTGTTGAGAAGGAAGAAAATTTCTATTGCTACCACTCTCAACAAGATCGAATCTTGCAAACTCTGTTGTGTTTTGTTGTTCTGTAACAGCCTGCATAAATTTGCAAGTCATGAGTTCCTCTTTGTCTCCTTCAATAGCTCATTGTCTTCAGAGCAGCCTCTGATCAGAAACTTCATTAAGTCAGCTCTGATTTGTCTTCTTATCATACCTCTTAGATAACATATTGAAAATGCCAGCTGGGTCGTGATGGTGCTTTTCTAATTAGGCTGCCATAGGCATAATTTCATTTATATTGCTATAACAACAAATAGTCATGTCACTGATGGCTGTGATCGAATTACAGCCTGTACATCAAGCAATTATTATCTTTATATTTGGTAAATGTAAGTTGACTAAGTGTCACTATAAATGACAGCACTATCCAAATTTAGATTTTCTGATAATCTGAAAGACATGTCACACCTTTCATCAGGAGATTGGCCGATGAGAACACCCCTTCTGAAACAACTGACGTTAGGAATAAATCTTCAGAATCAGATGATCACCTGGCCACATTTTCATGCATTCTTTTCCTATGACAGCAGATGAGAGTGGGAGAGAAAGGTAGGATCTAAAAATAGGTGGGAAAAAAATTGGTGGAATCTTTGACAAAAACAAAGATTGGAAGAGTCCTGTTGAGAGTCATTCCTGGAAGCTTGTGCAGATTGCTTAGGGCTAACATGTAACTAAGGGTAGAAAAAGGATGATCATATCATTAAATTACCTAAGGAAGCACTGCCTTCTTTTGCCTTTTTTAGCATTTTCGGAACGCATGGTGTAGTACCTTTGCTCTGCATGGGAGGAGTGGGCTGCACTAGAACATCAGTTGTTTCTTAATCCTATTGAAGCGTTTTTCTTCTTCTTGTTCTTCCCCCACCCCACCTCTGCCTCTGTCTAGGATGTGTCTCCCCAAACCCCACATCCTTGCATCTCAAGCTTTAGGTGAAAAGAATGGCATGGGAAAGGAGAAAGATGAGAGGACAAGCTCACATATCCTATCTTGGTCCCAAGAGCCCCACTAGTGCAACGTTCCTTTACCTACATGTCCCATCTGCACAACCATCGCCCTGCTCCAGTAACTCCATCTGCCACTGACATTGGAGTTTCATGTTCCTGACAAATAAAATTAGCCTCCAAATAGGTTGTATTCCAAAAAACAAATGAAGAAGCAAAACCCACAGTTTTTGCCTCTATTCCATCATCTCCAGTATCATTATCACCATTTATTGAGCCTGACTATGTGCCAAAAATTATGCTTTACATGCTTCAATTATCTCCCTTGTATGCAGCCTTCAGTCCCTCATCACCGTAAAAAATGATGTTGGCCCCACTTCAGTCCTTATTCCCTGGACTAGATTCTCAGCAGCCACATGGAGCCTTTGTCTCTTTCCTCACCCAAGAATTTCCACCTTGGCTTCCCATCCCTGGAGCACCTGTCTTGGCCCCCACTTAGTTGCTGTTCTTTGTTCCCTGTTCTCCATGGTGTCCTCCACTAGGGCCGTCAATCTATGAAATTTTCACTCCACTATCAGATAGAAGAGAGAATAAGGAGCGTGGGGGCACTGGTCCAGCTGTCAGGATTACCACTATTGCAGTTATTTTCCTGAATACACTTTAGCATGGGAATATACGAAAACTTGGCTTTAGAGTTTTATTAATGCCATTATCTCAGCTACATTGTAGTTCAGTCAGCTTTTACAGGTTGGTCAAAAATCCAACTCTAATACTATTTCTTTGTAGTACGCATTCTGAGTTTTAAAGGATTTACAAATAAAGTTTCAGAGCATAATCCACTGATATGTTAGTGACAGTCTACATTTTGAAGGTGTGTAGAAGCATTTAGAAAAAACTATATTTTTCTGTCTTGATGAATTAACCTTGAAACATTACTTTTAGGAAAGCAATGTCTTTTTCTAAATGGGACTTGATTTGTGTCCCACAAAAAAGCTAAATTAAGTTTTAAATGAAGAGTGTGGTTTTCCAATCCAAATCTAAGCAACAGACCAAAATAATTGGCAACTGGAAATAACACCATTTGAAAGTATGTTCTTTCAGGACAGGACTGATGTCTTTGCATCTCTGTTTGTTCACACCTAGCTCAGCTATTTCCTGGTATAGAGTCAAATTTCAATAAATGTTGGTGAATATTGTTTTTGAATGAACAGAATGCTGTTAGTGTCTGTGTCTACGCAAGCAAGTATTACACACTGAACTAAATTATTTATCCTAACTCAGCCTCCCTTCCCTCCAGATCCTTTTCTTTGTTGCTTATTTATACAGCGTGCAATTAAAGGTTGGCAAACGACTGTTGTAGATGATGGAATATTGGTTGAGTGCCCAGACCAGGAGGAGAGCTTCACACCCCGTCTTATTCTTATCACACTGTCTTTGGATGAGGGAGTCAAGATTTTGTTTGAAGCATTTGTATTTAGCCTGTCACTTTGTTCCCTATTTGTCTGGAGTCCTTTATGGCTGATGAAAGGAGGCAGAATCCTGAATGTGAGCTGCTTGAGGCAGGGCCCATGTCCTGTTCATCTTCATGCCTTCCATTGACATTTAGCCTATGGAGGGAAGGAAATGACCACCATATGCTAAGCACCTACGAAATCAGGCATTATTCTTGGCAGATTATACACATGATTTCATTTAATTAACACAAGAGTCTCATGACATAAATTGTTCTCAGTTCGGAGTTGAGAAAACTGAATTCAAGTTTTAAGGACTGCCAAAATCACATAGTTATGAGGGTCATGATTGTACACCCAACTAGCATAGTGCCTGATACATAATATAAATGTTTAGTAAATAGTCATTCTAAAATCTGTTCTTCTTTGAATGTCTTTGCTCTTTTTACCACCGAGTGTTTCCTCCCCAATAGATGTGTTTAATAGCAAAAACAATGATTTGAGATGTTTTGGTGAATGCACAATGACTTTCATGTTTGACTGATATACATTATAGACATTCGTCTAATTATATTTATATACATTTTTTTGTAGACACACAAGTGGAGAAGATAAATAGTAATTTGGAACCAAAACTCAGGACGTCCCAGGAGAGGCTAGATTAGGAATTCTTTGATTTGGGATCACGAAAATGAAGTATCCATATTTTAACAGAATGATTAGTGGCAGAGGAATCATCTAAGAAAACTGAGAAGACTCTGCCAGAGTGATGGGAAGAAAACTAGATGAGAAAGCACCATTCTGGAAGACATGCTCCCATGAACCATGGAGAGAAGAGGAGAGGGAAGGTGAGGACAGGGAGGGTGGGCCTCTCATTAAAAAAGATGATGGGAAATTGGCAGGAGACGAGGGGAACACAAGGACAAGGGAACCAGGTGAGTATTTTTGTAAGCGGAGTACAAAGAACTGAGAGGTGGTGATTAAGATGGAGGGGAAAGGGGGAGTAATTGATGAAGACTCTGCAAGGCACTGGTGGAGGAATGTGGGTTAGAGAAACGCCACTTCTCCAAGCCAGGAGGGATGGAGGTGGGCTGGTGAGAGGCAGGTGAACTTGCAAACCAGGACTGGGGAAAAGTTATTTGCTCACATGCTGAGTTATAAGATGATTTATAATTTTAACAAGTCATGTGAGATCTTGTCTAGGTGACAATAAATAATTGACTCAGAAGTAAAATCCTCCCTTTGCTCACAGGGAACTCAATTCATTAACAGGACAAACAGAATCCTCTCTAGGGAAAGTGCGAGACCTTGCGAAAATCACGTAGAGTCACTTTCTCCCCCTCTAACATTCTTATGTAGGTAAAGAAAACAGGTTGAAATGAGCATGGTGGGAATCTCTGAAGAGAAAAATTAGATCCATAAAAGGGTTGAAATAATAGCCTGTCTGTACTTTATGTTGTATAATGCCCGGTGGCTTTCACATCCCACGTTCCTTACTATCCCCCCGCCCTCTGCTCCTGTTTTTCCCTCTGTCAGCTGCATTGTCCTCTCCACCTCCTCCTCACTTTACTTCCTTAGCACAAGGCTCATCAAGCTTGTTTCTTCTCTGACACCAGCAATACTTGCAGTATTGCTATTTGCTGCCCATCCCCATTTATCATGTCTCAGAGTTCTTTGTGTACATTTTTTATTTATGCCATTTAATGTTCTATATTTACAGGACATGGAATGTCTACCTTTTCTTGTATCCTCCATGATCCCTTATTATTAGTGAACACTGAAAAAATATTTACTAAGTTCATATAATGATTATATTTTTACAGCTGACAGAAAAACCTCATTGAAATTAAATAATATAATTTGTAAGAGTAAAATTTAGGACTTAGGTTGAGAACCTTGGTCTTTTGATCCTCAAGCGTGTGCCTGTAAACTGCGTGCCTCTCTAGAAACATTAAGGGCTGTGTAAGGGACATGTGAGGGGGAAAAATGAAAGTCAGTGCTGATATACAGAGGCTCAGACGACCCAGGCTTATACCAGCTGGGTCACTTTTTTCTCTTCCAGAAGTTATTTGTGATGTCATTTGCCTGTGTCATGGCCTGCCTTCCCTAGATATTGTCCTAATGTGAGCATCACACCTAAGGTACTGAAGTAGAGTTCTGGCTGTTCCTTACGGACATCTCTGGTGGTAAGTAAATACATAGAGATTGCTAGTGCCTTTAACAGAACAATACATTGTAAGCACAGTTATCTCATTTTTAAACAAACTCATTTAATAAATACCTTTGCTTTTATTAGGTATGTTGCATATTGACATATTTTATTTTTTAACTTTTATTTTAGTTTTGGGGTACATGCGCAGGTTTGTTTTATAGGTAAACTCAAGTCGTTAGTACCCAGGTACTAAGCCTAATACTCAATAGTTATTTTTTTCTGCTTCTCTCCCTCCTCCCAACCTTCACTTTCAAGTAGGCACCAGTATCAGTTGTTCCCTTCTTTGTGTCCATGAGCTCCCATCTTTTAGCTTCCACTTGTGAGAACATGTGGTAGTTGGTTTTCTGTTCCTGCATTAGTTTGCTAAGGATAATGGCCTTCAGCTCCAGCCACATTCCTGGAAAAGACATGATCTCATCTATTTTTGTGGCTGTCTATAGTATTCCATGGTGTATATGTACCATATTTTCTTTATCTAATCTGTAATTGATGGGCATTTAGGTTGATTCCCTGCATTTTGACATATTCTAAAAGTTATTATGTACATATCTATAAATTTGTAAAGAAGGATCAAATAGAATATATTTGTCAATGAAAAAATAATGTGTTATATAATTACTCCCAGATTGGCGTCAGACGAAGCTGTGTCTTAATTTTTGCTGTGCCCACCTTTAGGTCCTTTGTCCTCTTTCATTTGTTCTCAGCTAGCTACCAAAACCCCCCTTTCAAAGTATTGACTGCAAATAATTAAGTGTAGTACATTTGCCAGGAATATTTGTGGTTTAATATATGACCACAAAGGAAGGTAGCGTTCATTCACTGAGTTAAGTGGTGAAGGAAACATTGTTTTTCAGTTATTCTGCATGATATTCAGAAATTACAATGACAACCACCTGTTATATCTAAAAATGAAGCTCTTCTTGGCTATATGCTTTAAACAAACAAACAAAGAAAAACCTATCATATAAGAGTTTATGGTATTATAGTGGTAAGATTTAACTTAGTTCACAAACCCCTTCTTAGATCTTCCCTTTTCCCCTGCATCAAACCTATAGGACATGGTATTTTTCTCCTTTCATGAAAATGTAAAAATTACCCAGTATCATATTGTCTTTCTCCTCTTATCTAATTGTTTCATAGAAAAGAAGCTGAAGTTGAAAGAAAAAGCCAATATTTTGAATATGTTCCTTGCAATAACTTAGCCTTTCAATCCCTTTCATTTTTATACTGCTAACTTTAGTAGCCTTGACAATGGGTATCCTTTTCACTCTATACTACCTAAAGTCTGACCGGGCGTGGTGGTTCATGCCTGTAATCCCAGCTCTTTGGCAGGTCGAGGTGGGTGGCTCGCTTGAGGCCAGGTGTTTGAGACCAGCCTGGTCAACATGGTGAAACTCTGTCTCTACTAAAAATACAAAAATTAGCTGGGTGTGGTAGCGTGCGCCTGTAATTCCAGCTACTCAGGAGGCCGAGGTAGGAGAATCACTTGAACCCGGGAGGTGGAGGTTGCAGTGACCCGAGATTGCACCACTACACTCCAGCTGGGTGACAGAGTGAGACTCCATTTCAAAAATAAATAACAAATAAAATGAAGTCTTGTCAGTAGTGTATGTTTCTGGTATCACAAACCGTATCCACAAAGGCCACGAGGACAAAGTGTATAGAAAACTGACATGGAGGCCACCAAACATACTACACATTGCCCTGGACTCCTTCATTCTTTGTTTCCAATTATCTATGAAAATGGACCCAGGATGAGTCCTCATGAATTGCCTTTGAGAAAACAAGAACATTGAGAGAAAACGAATTACAACAGTTCAATTAGATCATGTGCCTTAACTTACTGTAGACATAGAGAAACTCTGCAGATAGTGGGCCCAGAGTGAGCAAACTACCGAAGAATTCACAGCCACCACACCAATGTGTGAATACTTGGAGCCTCCAGGTTACATTTATTTTGTGCCAAGCAAAGCAGAACATAACTCTATAGTCGAGTTACTTCTTCTTTTAAGGAACAAATAAAGCCGTAAATATTGTTGAAGATGGAGAGACAGATTGTGGTCAAGCTCAAAATGGGCCCAGTGAATGGACAGTATCTCTGGGTTATGACCTGGGGTTCCTCAGGAAGAATGGTTGGCCTAGAAAGAAGCCACTGGATGAATTCTTCTAACTTGGTAGCACTGAGGAAAAATGTCCATTTTCCTCCATGAACAAAAGTTAGCTTGATCCATGTACTGAAGTCTGGGTAAATGTAAATATTTGGCTTTGCTTTTTCAAAGCTCCTTGATGCATTTTGATGGTTACGTTTCTTCAGAGTTTTCATTTGGGGAGAAATTGTTTTTTTCTCAAGATGGTCAGTGGACTTTGGATAACTGGGCACTTTCTCTGGTTCTGCTGAAGAGATTTCCATGTCTGTAGAGGCCAAAGTGTTCTTCAGAGTTGCTGGTTGTATGAGTTTGTAAAGCAGTTCTGTGATTTCTTTACCCCTTTCTCCCTCCAGAATCTCTAGACAATGTATCGTGGAGCAGGAATTCTGAATTTCCAGTTCTGTCACCTTCTTCTTTAATGCCTTGATGTCTTCTTTCATAGAGAGGATATCTTTAGTCGTTGTGCATTGTTTGTCTTCATTAACATTCATTCTGGTTTCCAGGACCTCCATCTGTTTTTGATACAAGTCAGTCTTTTCCTGGACTTTTGGTATCATATGGACAATGTCAGTCATTTGGCTGAAAAGTTCAACTTGAGCAGTTTTAACATCTTGGAGCACTACTGGAAGATTCATTTTTCCGTCATAACTATCATCATCTTGATTACAATCATCAGATGTCACAGTGGGATATCCAGTTGAATCTTGGTGCCGAATCTTACATTTGTGGTAAACATTTTTAAGAGACTGTCTGACCTTGGAGAGATTTGAAGTCCACATCTGCCTAGCAGCAGCTTTTACCCTTTTGGTGTGAAGTGTGTACATCTTTCATGGTGAAACAAGAGGCAAGGTGTTGGAAAACAGAATCACAGGAAGAAATAATGTACAAATGAAATGGTCCTTCTCTTACTATTTGTTGGATGCCTTTCCTGATAACATCTTAGAACACTCTGGAAATCATCAGCCACAGCAATAGACACTGTTAGGTGATTAGCTTCTTATAGAGCAGCCCAACCAGAGAGCTCTGTGAAATAATAGTCAACTGCATGGAATCTTTCATATGGTAATCATTGACCTGCTGCTGATGTCACAATGACTGCTGGCTTAGAACAAACATATTTAACTACAGCAGTTCTCAAAAGTTTTGGTCATAGGGCTCTTTTTGAATCATAGAAATTGTTGAGCAGCCTGAGGAACACAGAAAAACACCTGTTGCTACAAAAAAATAAAAAAATTAGCCAGCCATGGTGGTGCATGCCTGTAGCCTCAGCTACTTGGGAGGCTGAGGTGGGAGGATCACTTGAGCACAGGGGGTGGAGACTGTAGTATGCCATGATGGTACCACTGCACTCCAGCCTGGGCGACAGTACAAGACTCTGTCTCAAAATGAATAAATAAATAAATAAATAAATAAAAATAAAAATGAAAAATTATTGAGGATCACACAGATTTTGTTTATTTGGGTTATATCTACCTACATTTTATAGTAGACATTAAAACTAAGAAAGTCTTAGATAATTAGTTATTAATTTAAATTTAAAAACCCATTACATGTTAACATAAGTGATATATTTTCATAAAAAATAATTTGGTTTTCTAAAAAAAAAGTGAGAAGAGTGGCATTGTTTTACATATCTGCAAGTGTTTTAAATACCTGAATTAATAGAAGATAACTAGATTCTCATATCTGCTTCTGCATTATATCTGTTGTGATATATTATTTTGAAGTATATGAAGAAAAAATAGCCTCATGGAGTTACGTAAATGGAAAGGGGAGAGTATTTTCATAGCTTTTTCAGATAATTGAGGATATCATTCTTTGCTACTTTATGAAAATTTGACAAATGATTTTTTTTAAGAAGTTAGCTGCAATGTGTCATTTTAGGCCAAATCAAAGAAGTTTCATACTCTGTTATATTAATAGCCGCTGGTCTATTTTTTATTTTGAATAGATGCATAATATCATGTATTGGTCATTTGGCAAACAATGGTTCACTGAATTATGTAGGTCTTCCAAATGTCAACTCATTGTATTATATAATATCAAAATATCATTTTCATTAATATCTCCACCAATCTCACCAGAAAAGTCTTTGAGTACTGAGAAGAGGCCAAGCTCATGGTAGCAAATGCAGATTTTTCAAAATTCTAATTTTAGCTTGAAAATCTTGAAATTTATCAAGCTGGTTTATTGTTTTCCTTGAAGTGACAGATTCCCTCCATCCATTTTTTGCAAAAATGCTTGCCAAATGCCCAACTATGAACACTGTAGTTTGTTGTCAGTTTTTTTCAAGAAAAAATAGTGTTCCATGAAAAAAGCACACATTTGTAATTCAAATACTTATGTACGTTTCCTCATGAAAACCAGTATACTTTGTTAAGCTGCAGAAGCACTTATGTTTACTTCCCATTATATCATACATAATATAAAAAAGATGTACTGAAGGGTTGAGATCTAATAAGATTAAAAATTCTTACTGCTTCATTGAGGACATTCTTGAGTGAAACTGGTTTTTCTTGTATTTTTTTCCTTTTCTGATTGAGTCACTGTTAGTCAGTGTGGTACCCCTGCTGTAGTTCATGCTAAGGTATCAACAGTTTTACCCACCATTGCTTTTGCAATGTAATTTTCAACAGGCAAATGTAAGCACAGTGGAAGAGACAAACGGTGTCCTGGGATTATTTTGAAATATTGTTGCCCTCATTGTCACACTTACAGAGTGGTCTCATGACACAAAGCATTCCACACTTTGAGAGCCACTGCCTTAGAATTTAAAAATAACAGCAGCCATTTCTCATGTTCCTTCTTATAGGTTTTTCTACATAACAGTATTTGAAATTCAAACCCTTTGAAATATTAAATAATATTTGGCCCATTTTATATATTGAGGTAAAAACTTAATTTTATTCTCTAAACACATTAGACTGAACACTCTGGAATCAAAATGACGTGTTACTCACATGTCTCTCAAGGAGCAGTCCCATTCTACTCAAAAGGACATTCCCTCTTGGATCCATGCCAATTCCAACCTTCTACCAAATCACTGTTTCTTCTATCTGTGCCCAATTGGAGGGTCAGTGTTGGCCCAGGATTTGGTACAAACAGTGAGCTTTTCCAGCAGTAATTTTAAAATTTTGGCTCATCAATAATATCTGGGATTTTGCCTTACTCTCCTATCTTTCAAATGCTGTTTAGTAACCTTTCGAAAATGTCTAGAAACCTTTCCAAACACTTGCTGAGGAAAATATTCTCCAAGAGGCAGACTATCACAGGAATGGCATTTGGGGCTTGGAAAGGTTAGAGTTCACAGCCGTCCCGTTTACTCTGGCTAAGGCCATTTTATCCGTCGAGTTCTGCAGACACAGTACTTAGGGCCCATACAGTTTTTAAGGGCCAATGAAAATACTTAAGAACAGAAGAAAAAAAAAACAGTGGCTCAGAATACTGAAAGAAAGCTGCAAGATTGAAGCAATAAATGTTTAATGAAACGTCTCTGAAATGTACTATGTCATATTCATTAATTGTTAGATTTAGTATTATTAAAATTTCATTACATTTGGAGGCAATTTGTGTATTACGTATTCTCACTTTCCAAGAATTCCCAGTTAAATGAGAGGGACTGCTTGTCATAATTACTCCCTCCAGGTTAATAACAGCTAAGACTTGTTGGGTGCATACCAGACACTGCTCTAAGTATTAGCTTACTTAACTATGTTCAGAGAAGTCAAGTAACTTTCCTAAGGTAATAGAGCTTAAAAATGGGCAGAGTCAGATTTCAAATGCTTACATTCTGGCTCCAGAGTCCATGTGTTTTACCTCTACTGCCTCACAATCATGATTAAAATATATATTTAGTACAACTCAGAAAAAGATGGACATTTTCTTTTTAAAATCCTACTGTATATTTATAGAAGACTTATTTTATTAAAATTTTGTCTGTTTAGCATTATGAGAAAATTTAAGCTTTCATCGGTTATTTTATTTACCAAAAGCATTTGATACAGAAATTTGTGAAGACTTTAGAAGTTGAACAAGCTCTAATTTGTAGGTAAAAGTGAATATTTGGAGGCTTACTTTCCTTACTGTGGTAGACATAGTAATACAATAATTGGAATTAAAAAAATTAAAGTTTTCAACTTAAAATATGAGTGTATGCTTACTATTTTTATAAAACAAATAAATCTAATAGGCTGATACAAACATAAACCTGTCTGGGTTTCTAACTACTTCCTTCGTAATGTCAATAAAGGGAGCCTTGGCTTATCTGGAGTTTGCCAGGTGGTGAAAAGTTGCACCGGGAGGAGGTAAGCCTATTGATTTGGGCGAAGTTATGAGAGCAGTCAGAAAGTGAATGAATAACGGGAAATAAGCTGACTTCCGCTCTTCGGGTTCCTGCCAAGGGTATGGTGGCATTTAGAAATAAAATAGCACAGTGGTCTGAAGCCTAGTGGGAGACTTCCTGAGTCTACCTGTTCTCCAGGAGGTTGGCTTTCACAGGAATGGTATTTGGAGCCAGAAAGGTTCAAGGCTGTCCCATGACTAACTCAGTGCTCTTACACAAGTTTCTAGCCTCCCACAAGCCTGTAAAATGGGATAATAACAGCACCTAGTTCAGTGACTGGTTTTGAGAATTAAGATGCTGAATAGTTACAAGTCCTTTCCTCCTCATTTCCCACCACCTGTCTCTCACTTCTCTTCTTCCAGATGAAAGGAGATGGTTAACCGTTTTCAGCTTTAGCGCTGCCTGCTCTCTCAATCTCTCACTCTGCCTTTCTCCCTCTTTCAATATGACCAAGACATAAAGTGTGTGGTCCTTGCTGCCCAATATACCATGCAGGGAAAGCATTTCGATTAGAGGCAACTGAAATGCAGCAAACAAGGCTGACACATCAGCCCTTTATCTCTTAGCACAGGGTTTCCCAACCAGCTTTGGTTTCAGGCAGACTGGAGTAGAATAACCACTGGTTAGATGGGTCTAATAATACATAATATTATTCAATATTTTAAATGCTGTGTTTTTGAGTACACTAACTATATATTAATTATGGCAGAGTTTAGATTATCTATATAAATTACATATATAAAAGTCACTCTGGGCCGGGCACGGTGGCTTACGCCTGTAATCCCAGCACTTTGGGAAGCTGAGGCGGGCGGATCACAACGTTAGGAGATCGAGACCATCCTGGCTAACACGGTGAAACCCCGTCTCTACTAAAAATACAAAAAATTAGCTGGGCATGGAGACGGGCGCCTGTAGTCCCAGCTACTTGGGAGGCTGAGGCAGGAGAATGGCGAGAACCCGGGGGTCGGAGGTTGCGGTGAGCCGAGATCGCGCCACTGCACTCCAGCCTGGGCGACAGAGCGAGACTCCGTCTCAAAACAAACAAACAAACAAAAACAACAACAACAAAAAAGTCACTCTGTTTTTTTTAAACATGTTTTTTTGTGTGTGTAGGAGAGAGTGGGATAGTTACAGCTATCCTGCTAGCAATTGAGCATTATGTATAACGTTTGTGTTACACCTGTAGTGATCTACTATTACTCATGTTACCTTAGGGGTCGTGACCACAAAAACTTATTAAGAGTCTTTAACTTCCCCCACAAAATTTAGGGGCCAGGTTCACAAGAATCTGGACCCTCCCACGTGACTATCACCTGTCATGTGCACGGTGGGATAAAAGATTGAGGAAACAGGAACCAGGAAAGTCTTTCGAATTTGATCAGGGTGGGCTGACTCAAGGGGATAAGAATGTGCGAATTCAATCTCCTGTTACACATGCTAAGTAGTTATGAAGGGCCCAAAGGGAAAGCTGTCTTCTACTTTTCTTTCTTTTTAGCCATGAGAAATAGAAGAGAGTGGGCTTGAAATCAGAGCTGTTGCACTGGACCAGGACAGAGAAACAGGGGAAAGTCACAGTGTTTATAATGTAGGCAAGGTTTCAGGCTGAAGGAAGCGATGGAGCCCAGGGACATTGATAAGGCCATCTGGTGAGAGTGACACGTGGGGTAAGGGAAAGGGCCGCATCCACTACGTGGTTCTAATAAATATTCATAATGATAGTTTAAAATCCTGTGAGACCACAAGCCAAAAAATGAGGTGAACACCTTTGAGGAAATGATGGAACGATAACTTTTAAATAATATTTGGCAATGATATTTTACTTTTTCACTATAACTAAAATTGTATGGTCTTTCTGGAAAATCTTTCATCTGTTTATCGCCAGGGCAAATTTCTACCCATCCTTTGGAGTCATTCATTCATCTACTACACTTGTCTTGCCTTTTCTGATTCTCCTTATAGTCTTCCCAATGCTTCCAACAGATCTGGGTCTCCATCTAGCAATGATTCCCATATTGTATTGTTATTGTTGGTGAGCCTATCTCCCCTCTAGATTCCGAGTTCCTTGAGAGGAGAGACTTGGGTTTGTTTTTTTTTTTTTTTAGAGACGAGTCTCGGCATGTTGCCCTGCCTGGACTCAAATTCCTGGGCTCAAGCCATCCTTCTGCCTCAGCCTCCCCAGTAGCTGGGACTGCAGGTGTGCACCACCAGAGACTTGCTTTTTAACTCTATATCCTCAATGTCCCAAAGCCTAACATATAGTTAGTGCTCAAAAAATCTTTATTCATTGAATGAAAGGATGAATGAATGCACCTGTGGATGATTGTCAAGATGTTGATTGGGTCTCTCCTGAGCCTATTTCTATGGACAGCAAGGAGATACACTGTTTTACTCAGAATGGGAATAACTTTTCTCAATTCCTGGGGGATCATTTAGCAATTTTGGGATAGGATTTAATAATTGCTCCCCACAGACTTGAAGCAGTTAAGTGGCAGTAATTTGAGAGAGATGGAGGTAATTACATACCTGGAAACAGCTATGGAATGGAGAGAGAGAGCCCAGTAATGATGGTGACAGGGGTGGTGTTGATGGCTCTGGTCCTAGAGGTGACCAAAGTACATAGCATATGTACCCCCTGTGCAACATATTAAGTCTTTCAGGCCTCTAGAGAACCACAGGGTATCAGTGTATTCTCCATACCTCTGTGGGATTGCCCGAGAATGCATTCGTCATCAATTTAGATACTCAGGCACTTATCTCTTTATTTCTGTCATCTTATACTGTGAACTCCAAATTTACAATGAACTCTCTCTAGCTTATCTAAACATACCCTTCACCATGTAGTTCCATAACCCTTGGGGCACATTAGCATTTTATTTGATCTCTCTTCCCTGTCATCTTCCTCCAGTTCTTTCTGTTACGCTTGGCTCTCCCTGGTAATTTATTATATGAGGTTGCCTAGTTTCTGTAATTCTCAACTTCACCTCTTGGTTTCCCTTCTCAAATACCACCTTGAAACCTCTGCTCCCTTTAGCTTATGATTGACACTCTTCTTATAGTGCTTTATAAGTCTCGATGTGCACAATTGATGCAGCCATAAAAATAAATGTCTGGAAAAATGAAGGGAAACTGAAAGAGATTTGTTTTCACTTAACCATTCACCTCTTTCCTTTAATGGAACTGGTGAATAAATTCAGTGAGTTAGTCTATTTAAACACCTTTGTTTCACTGAATTTATATCATTTAGCAGATCTTTTTTGGAAACCATTATGTGACGGGTGCAGCACAGTGTCAACTTGCTATCTTGTTCCTGAATTGTATTGTTCTTCATTTAGGAAACCAAAAATTAAAAGCTAGAGAATAAATAGTGATCACATTGGAAATGGGGATTTAAGTGTGTACAAATCCAGAAATCATAAAGTGTAAAAAATTGGAGAATGCTAGTATTCCCATTTCTAATTATTATACTGTGTAGTTTGCAGTGGTGTCGTCTCTGGGTATGTTACTATGTTAGTATAGCCTTAATTTTAAGAAAAACTCTGTTTTTCTGTTTGGCTTTTTAGTTGTCCTAATGCTTTGTAGTACTTTGGAGTACAAAATCCAAGGAGCTATCTTCTTTCTTATTCCAACATTTTAAAGGTGATAAAGTGAAATATTGCACTGGCTTTTCCTAATAGTGCTCACCTTGAGAGACATGTATTATGATGGCATTTTATGTTTCTAATGGAATTTGCACCCATATCTCTGTGAAGTGAATGTGTATTTATCCCTTGACTGTATTTTGCTTTCTGTTATTAGTGTCCTCTCTATCTTGGGTGTATTATTTTTCCGTTTCATTCCATCTATACAATGAGAACAGCAGTAAAGCCATATGTTGACATTGAAGGGGGTCACAGAATTAACATGAAAATGTTTATTATATCTAATTTTAAATTTTATATTATATCTCTTATTTAAGAACTGTAAACGTCTTATTATGCATGGTTTTGGCAGTGTTTTTTCTTCAGCAGTTTGATTTTGGAATCATTTCCTTTCTCTGTTTAAAGCTACAGGCATCCTTTTTCCTGCATGGGTTTGGATTACAAAGATCTTATTTAACTTCCCAAATGTATTCCTTCTGCTTGTGCGCTATGATTACACACAAAATGGAAAATGTCCAAAAGGCAATCATAAAATGAAGTGGATTTTTTTTTCTTCCTTCTCTACCTAGGTTTTTATAACTATAACTATGATAATCTGAGGAGAAAATATTTATTCATTTTTTTAAATATTTATTGAAGGCTCCCCCAGTAGAAATGTGTACTGTTGCTGCAGCTGTTTCTATTATGCCAAAAGCCAGCTAGAATACAAAAGGTGTTTAGGAATGTTTAACTGTAAGATTGAGAATTTTATTTTTTTGGGGGAGATGGGTACTTCTCTTTCTGGAAATTTGAGTCTCTTTCTTGTAGTCTAAAAGTAATGTAAGTATTGAATAACAAAAAAGTAGAATGATTGGGAGGCCAAGACAGGTGGATCCCTTAAGGTCAGGAGTTCATGATCAGCCTAGCCAATATGGTGAGACCCTGTCTCTACTAAAAATCCAAAAATTAGCCGGCCATGGTGGCACGTGCCTGTAATACCAGCTACTCAGGAGAGGCAGAGGGTGCAGTGAGCCAAAGTTGTACCACTGCACTCCATCCTGGGCAACAAAACAAAACTTTGTCTCAAAAAAAAAGTACAGCGACAAGACAGTTCTATTAAATACATATTTCAATAATTTTCAGCTTCAGTGTTTGGCACTAATGGCTACAATTCTCACTGTAACTTGTGAGACTTAATTACTGCTCATTCTATTTAAGTGCTGAAGTTTCTCCTCCACCATGCAGTGTAAAATGAAACGAAACTGGTCTGAGCCCTTGGGCAATTTACATATTAAGATAGGCAAAAATTTCTGTTGTAACTTCCATTGAACTTTACATTTACATTTTTAAATGACATTTAAAAATAAGAACATGTTGCTGGAAATCACATTCTTTGTTGTTAGAAAGTAGAGCTGAAGTCAAATGAATGTCCAGGCTCATTGAAATGATTGAGAAAGTGATATAATTGCTTAAACCTTAGTAAAGCAGAAGATCTGGGTTCCAACATTCCTTTGAGAATCCGATGAAAGTTTTGCGTGCTTTTTCAGAAAACAGCACTGATATGGTTTGAATTTGTGTCCCCACCCAAATCTCATGTCGCGTTGTAATCCTCAATGTTGGAGGTGGGGCATGGTGTGAACTGGGAGCTGATTGGATCATGGAGCTGGATTTACCCCTTGTTCCTGAGATAATGATTTCTCACAAGATCTGGTTGTTTAAAGGTGTGTAGCACCTCTCCTCTCCCCTCTCCTTCTTTCTTTGCTCCCACTATGTAAGACGTGCCCGCTTCCCCTTTGCCCTCAGCCATGATTGAAAGTTTCCTGAGGCCTCCCCAGCCATGCTACCTGTACAGCCTGTGGCACAGTGAGTCAACTAAACCTCTTTTCTTTTTAAATTACACAGTCTCAGGTATTTCTTTATAGCAGTGCAAGAATGGACTAATACAGAATATTAGCATACACACACAAATTTGCACATAAGTACATCAGGGGATAGACACACAGACCTCTCCCACCCCAATCCTCAAAGCCCTTTATGGACACCGTAAGATATAAACCAGGTTAAAATCCTCACAATAAGAGAAGGAGGACCAAACATTATTCAGGCCCCCTTTATGAGTGTTTTTGATTTGAAGGAGCTAGAGCCTTTAGGTGGTTTAATTCAAGAACTTAGAATACGTGAAGTGCTGAGAATGCAGGCAGTTGATTATCTGAGGAACAAAGGAGGGAGATCCCCATGGAATGTATTGGCTTGGGAATGAAATCCTTGAAAACAACTGAGGTCTGGACAGGTGAAAGTCAAAAAGGTCTTCTGTGCTGTACACACCATGAAGTCAAGGACCCTATTTAGTTTGTTCTTCTAAACAAACCAGCTTGGTGCAAGCTATGAGCCACCAGGCTGTCAATAAATATATAGTGTTTTGTGCTTCATTTCTAGTGAGGAGTTTGAACCAAGAGAAATGACATAAACTCAGGGAGGGAATTCTGTGTGCGCCCCTGATACAAAGTGACTGAGATGAATGTCGGAGGCTGGGCTGGTATCTTTTGCGGTCAGTTGGGAGTAAATGTTTTCATAAGAGTTGTTTAAGGGTCAGATTTGCAAAATTAAATGTCTTGATTTTATTGCTAAGGAACTAAGGAATAACAGAAATGTTATATCCAGTGTTTTATTATGAAATTCTAATGGCCTTTAGAAATGGAACTTGGTAGTGAGGGTTCCAAATCTCAGAAGTTAACCGCTAGACCTAAACTGCCTACAGCAGTGGAAGAGCCGACATTTTCAATGGGACTCCTCCAGCGTGCACTTTCCTAATTTCCTAGAGTGGGTAGGAAAGAAGGAGAGGCTTTGTGGGGCAACAAAGTTATTGTTAATTTTGACTTTTTCCCTCTCCTCTTTCAGAAATATTTAAAAACGGGGGCTGTTGTTATCAAACGCAGAACCTGCTTCACCTCCCCCACCCCTTTTTTGGCTTGCTCCTTCCTCTTCCTGCCTACCTGCTGAGTCATCACTGTGGTGCAGTGAATCAGCTTTTGGCATTTCTTTATTCTGAGATGTAAATAAAATCCTTAGCTATTAAATCATTTAATGCTGTGTCACCATTGGGCATTTTTTTCCTTTTTAGATATAGAATTTACATATCTATACATGTATTTGTGTACTTTACATATATAATGCAAGTGACAATGAAGTTTTTCCTTTTTAAAACCTTGAGTTTACCCACAGCAGAACTATGTCATTTTACGTCTTATTCGCTACTGACCGTTAGGAATAAAATAATCATGTTGTGAAGTGCTTGAGGCCCAACATGCCCCAAATGAAAAGGATGGAATAGATCACAGTCTGGTCACACAGGATATATGTCGGCGGGTGGATGGGTAGGATGGTGATACCTCCTTTTTGGGACTTGGAGTTTCCACAAGGAGGGATAAGAATTAGCATATCACTTCTGCCCTGTCTCCACCCCCTCAGAGGAAGGGAATGCCTTTGCTGGTTGTGAGGTTGGACTGAGGAACTGGGCGTGCATAGCTCAGCTTCTTCCTCCTTTCCTTTGTCTTTGGGATTTGCCTGCCTGCCAAGGACACTCTTTATTCTTCATTCTGTCCTCCATGCCATCAGCTGGATAAGGGCAGACTCTGCCCCTAAAGATCAGGAGTGGGGTTTAGGGAGGCACAGAGAGAAGCCTGGAGATTCAATCCAATTCTGAGATTGGGTATTAGGAAGATTATCGTTGTCACACTTCTATGCTACATCCATCATAAGGGTGATATTTTGATCTCTGATCTACTGTACTCTTCTGACTATTCCAATTATTGTAGAAATTGGGAGCAGAATAATAGCATAATTTACTCACCTTTTCATACACTCAACAAAATAGACTAATTTGTAATCATTGCAAATTTGGATGGTATTACTCAGCCTGCGGTTTTGGAGTAGCCCCGAGTAAATTCTATTTAGAGTGAACTACATTTGGTGAGAAGCCTATGAATTTGAAATTTTGATTTTAGGTACAGAGTTTATAATTTTGATGTGACTGTACATCTTTTCTTTTTTCTTTTCACTGCAAACATGGGAAAACCATACTGAGCCGCTTTTTTAAAATGGTGTTACGAGAATTACCAGATAGAGGCATTTCGATCAGTTTCTAAAATTTTGTATGCTCTTATCTGTGATATGGGAATCATAGTATTTCATAAAGTTTTTGAGGGGATTAAACTAAATGAGAAAATGTATTTGAGAAATAGTTCAGTACTGGCCCATAATAATCATTCAATAAATGTTTAATCAATGTCTATGGTGTACTTGGCGCTGTGTCAGAACAAGAGCATTCTTTATGAATTAGTGAACTTAGCAACCAAGCATTTTGCTGTCCAAGATAGAGGAATTAAAAAGATGGGAAGAAGAAACAAGTGTTATTGGTGACCTCATCTTTTCCGCTTCTGTTTATTCTCTAAATATCTCTTTTTATTTTTAATTCAACCATTGTCATTTTGATCCTGTAAAATCTAGGTATAGTTTCTATGTGAGGGAATTTCCTTTTAAAATTGTTAATATTGCTCGAAGAAGGAGGGAAAGCCAGAAGCCAGCTGCCAGCTGGGTCTCTTGGTGACATCCCCACTGTCCTGTGGAATCAACTGACCCCAGTTCAGAGGAGAGAGTGAGAGGCCAGTAGGTGGCTCATGCTGCCAGACTAGTCTAAAACTGAGTACAGAAAGAGAAAAGAAGAAATGTTTAAATACAACCTTGAACTTTTCTTTAAAAATTTTTTTTTTAGATTTAGGGGGTACAAGTGCAATTGTGTTACCTGAGTATATTGTGTAGCCATTGCCCAAAGAGTGTACATTGTACCCATTAAGTGATTTCTCGTCCCTTATCCCCCTCCCACCCTCCCACCCTTCCTTGTCCCCAATGTCTATTATTCCACTCTCTATGCCCATGTGTACACATTATTTAGCTCCCACTTAAAAGTGAGAACATGCAGTATTTGACTTTCTGAGTTACTTCACTTAAGATGATGGCCTTCAGTTCCATCCATGTTGCTGCAGAAGACATAAGTTTACTCTCTTTTATGGCTGAGTAATATTTCATTGTGTATAAAAACCACGCTTTCTTTATTCAATCATCCATTGATGGACACTTAGGTTGATTGATTGCATATCTTTGCTAATGTGAATAGTATTAAGTTGGTGCAAAAGTAATTGCGGTTTTTGCCATTACTTTCAATGGCAAAAACCGCAATTACTTTTGCACCAATCTAATACTGTGACAAACATATGGATATAGGTATTTTTTTATATAATGAACTTTTCCTTTGGGTAGATACCCAGTAGTGGGGATTGCTGGATTGAATGAGAGTTCTATTTTTAATTATTTGAGAAATCTCTGTGCTGTTTTCCATCGAGGTTGTGCTGATTTACATTCCCATCAATAGTGTATAAGCATTCCCTTTTCTCCACATTCTTACCAACATCTGTTATTTTTGACTTTTTAATTTAATTTTAATTTGTATAGATTTAGGGGATACAAGTGCTGGTGTAAGATGGTATCTCAGTGTGGTTTTGATTTGCATTTCTCTGTTGATTAATGTAGTTGAGCACTTTTTCATATGCTTTTTGGCCATTTGTATATCCTCTTTTGGGGAATGTCTGTTCATGTGCTTTGCCTACTTTTTAATGGGGTTATTTTGTTATTGTTGTTGAGTTATTTGAGTTTCTTATAGATTTCGAATATATTAGTCCTTTATCAAATGTGTAGTCTGCAAATATTTTCTCCCATTCTGTGGGTTGTCTCTTCACTCTTATTTCTTTTACTGTCAGAAGTGGTTTAGTTTAATTAAGTCCCATTTGTCTATTTTTGGTTTTGTCTCATGTGTTTTTGAGGTCTTCATCTTTGAAATTTTCTTTTTTATTTGTCTTGAACATAAAACAAGATTTCACCAAACTTTTTTAGTTTCTTTTCTGTTCTTTTTTTTTTTTTTTTTTAAGACAAGAGTCTCACTTTGTTGCCTCACCCAGGCTGGAGTGCAGTGGCGTGATCTTGGCTTACTGCAAATTTCATCTCCTGGGTTCAAGTGATTCTCCTGCCTCAGCCTCCTGAGTAGCTGGGATTACAGGCATGCATCACCACACCTGGCAAATTTTTCTATTTTTGATAAAGACGGGGTTTCACAATGTTGGCCAGGCTGGTCTCGAAGTTCTGACCTCAAGTGATCTGCCCGCCTTGGCCTCCCAAAGTGCTGGGATTACAGGTGTGAGCCACCATGCCCAGCCAGTTTGTTTGCTATTCTTACAGAATAGCCAAATTTTCTGTTTCCAGGTGCTCACAAACCCTAGGTGTCAGGGGTGGAAGATGTGGATTGAAGTTGGTTCTTACTCTTCATCATCTCTCCAACTTCACAATAGCTCCATCACAGTTGGTTCTTCCTGGAGATGTACTGTGGGAGAAGGAAGCCTGCTTCCTACACTCAATCTATAAATCCCCAGCTCTAACCATCCACCTCTTTCTCAGAACTGGCAGATACCAATAATCTCCTCGCAGGGTCATGGTTTAAGAAGAAGAAAAAGAAATAAATCAAAGTAAGGTATTTTCTCTCTCTCTCTCTCTCTCTCTCTCTCTCTCTCTCTCTCTCACTCACTCATTCTCTCTCTCTTTCTCTCTCTCTCTCTCTCTCTCTCTCTCTCTCTCAGTTCTAGGCCTATACTATTTGTTTGCTTCCACATGACTTGTGGCAATGAAGTAACCATTCTTCTCTGTGCTAAGGGAGGGAGATACTTTCTCTCTGAGCAGCCTTCAAGTCTTGTTCAGTGTCAGTATGATGGCCTGGAGTTTGGCATGGTGAGGTAGCAGAGAGAGCCCTGGGTTCATCAGCAGAAGGCTCTGGTTCTGCTCTGTCATTAACTGCATGGAAGGAAATATACCCCACCCCCTGTGCTTCATGGTGATCTTCAGAAAAATGATGAGATGAGGCTTAATGATATCTTAATTCCATTCTAATTCCAATATTAGAAAAAGCACATCTATGGGTCAGAAGGTAGATTTAATTAATTTTTATTTATTTTTAAAATATTTATTTTAGAAATAGCATCTCACTTGGTTACCCAAGCTGGAGTGCAGTGTGAGATCATGGATCACTGCCGCCTGCCGTCTGGAACTCCTGGGCTCAAGTGATCCTCCCACATCAGTCTTCTGAATAGCTAGGACTACAGGTGCATGCCCCCACACCTGGCTTTTTTTTTTTTTTAATAGAGAAAGGGTCTCATTATGTTGTCCTGGCTGGTCTCGACCTCCTGGCCTAAATGCAATCCTCCTGCCTCAGCCTCCCAAAGTGCTGGGATTACAGTATAAGTCAACACTCCTGGCCTGATTAATTTTTATTGAATTTTTTTTTTAAAAACCCTGCTGTTGTATTAATATTATTCAATTACATCCCATTTTCACAGTGTAAGCCTACTTTTATATGCTTAGTAAGCTTGAAGCTTTTTAACAAATTTACTTGATTGCTGTCCAACACTCGGTTATTAATTTAAATTAAATATTATCTATTTAATTATGAATTGCCACATGGTAAGCAAAATAATTCAGGAGTTGGAGATTCTTTCTTTAATAATGTGTGCTTAGGTTTTAGAAATGTGCAAATAATCTGAGTCCAGGAAAACTCCCATGTCATCTAATACTGCATTTCATTAACTCTAAGATGCATGTTTTTGCACATTTTCATATCCCTGAAATTGAAATTTGTCTTACAATAGGTGGCATCTTAGTATTATGTCATATATTAGTTGGTGATGCTTTTCTTTTTTAATAAATACTTAATAGCATGCTTGCAGTTAATGACATCTTAGACTTAAAATATAGCACATATTAATATACTATAAACATCTAATTTAAGAGTTTTCTAATCTTACATAAAGGCGCTATACATGTTAATCCTTTAACTTAAGGGTTTCATGAACTTAATGTATCCTAACGTAATCATTTTTAGTACACAAAGCTACATTGTGCATTTTTTATTCAATGGAATTTCCAACTTGGGCCTAAACTGGGATTTATAATAACATGTCTGGTCATGTTGGGAGAAACTGAGTATGCATATGAGGTGTTAACGTATATGACTTTATTCAAATGGGGTGCTTTCAGAGAAGGAAGAAAGTTTTGTTTTGGAGTCTATAGCTGGAGATAGGCATGTCAGTTGGAGTCTATAGCTGGAGACTAGGCATGTCAGTTGGGTTCTATGGGAAGCAGACATTGAGACAGAGTTGGGAGTACAAGCAGTTTATTAGAGATAACACCTATGAAATACAAAAGGCAGAGAAATTGTATTGGGCAGGAAATGCCTACAGATTAGACAAAGTCTCAGAAAATCCAACAGGGAGCTTTGGAGCAAAGATTGTCCATGAGATTGAGCTCACTAATAAGCAGAAATGGCCAGGCCCTAGTACCCCCACTCTTCTCAGACTAGTTGGGGAATACCCAGGAAGAGGAGCCAAGGTCAACAGTGTCTGTCGTAGACAGTGGTTCTTGTCATGAACTTCTGTCTGAATCCTGTAATGAAAGGTGTGTCAATAACTGTGAAACATCCTAACAAGTTAGCTCGCCACTGTTCTGTGGATGCTGGCAGAAGACATGAGACTCCTGCATCAGAGACAAAGGGCTTTATTATTCATGGCATAGTAGTCAGCATATTTGAATTGACTCCACTTGCTCGAGTTCCCAGAGGGAGATGCAAAAGGGCTAGGTGAAGCCTGCACAAATCTTCCCTCTGTTCCACAGAAAGACACTCTATTTTCCAGGGCTGTTGGCCATACAGACATCACTAAAACAATAATTTGGAACAAAGTTAGCCAGTGCCTCTACTCACAAGATGTGCAGAAATGTGAGAGACCCCTGGGGAATTGACTTCCAGCAAGGTTCTCCAAACAGAGACTGAAGGAAATATTTTCATTGGTGACTTTGGAATGTGAGGAGCAAAAAGCAGAGAGACAATCGTGTCTTTTTTTTTTTTTTTTAAGAGAGACAGGGTCTCATTCTGTTGCCCAGGCTGGAGTGTAGTGGTATGATCATAGTTCACTACAGCCTTGAACTCCTGGTCTCAAGCGATCCTCCTGTCTCAGCCTCCTGAGTAGCTGGGAATACAGGTGTGCACCACCATGATCAACTAGTTTTTAAATTTTTGTAGATACCAGGTCTCCCTGTGTTGCCCAGGCTAGTCATGAACTTCTGGCCTGAAGCGATCTTCCTGCCTTGGCTTCCTAAATTGTTGGGATTACAGGTATGAGCCACCATGTCCAGCCATGTTGACACAAAGTAGAGAGAGGGACTGTATGAGTCTGTTCTCATGCTGCTAACAAAGACATACATGAGACTGGGTAATATATAAGGAAAGAGGTTTAATTGGCTCACAGTTCCACATGGCTCAGGAGGCCTCTCAATCATGGCAGAAGGTGAAAGAGGAGCAAAGTCACATCTTACAAGGCAGCAGACAAAGTGCATGTGGAGGGGAACTCCACTTATAAAACCATCAGATCTTGTGTGTCTTATTCACTGTCATGAGAACAGCATGGGAAAGACTCACCCCCTTGATTCAATTACCTCCCACTGGGTCCCTCCCATGACATGTGGGAATTAAGGGAGCTACAATTCAAGAGGAGATTTGGGTGGGGACACAGCCAAATCACATCAGGATCATTCTTCTTGCAACTTATTCTTGTGACACAGAGGGACTTTAGCTCCAAGAGAATTACAGTGGAGGCCATTCCATATAGGCATCTCAAGTGTTTGCAGTTTGAGAAGTAGCAAAAAACAAGACTATTGGCGTGAACATAAGTACTTTCCTTGACTTCTCTCAGTATTTGACTATAGCGAATTAGGCCACAGGCTGAACATAAGATAGTTTGTGAAAACTTTGAGATACCCTTTCAGGACCTCTAGAGATAATTGGGCATGGCTGCAGAGGCTTGTTTTGCATGAAACTGATTTATGTCTGCTATGGAGGTGAGAAAAAGAGGCAGGAAATATGAGATGTGACCATTAATATTATTCTACCCATACACAACTGCTGGGGAGGCCTGCTTAGAGAAACTCAGGTCACGCCAAAGGTGCTTATTCTGTAGTTCTTACAAGTTCTTTGACGTATGAATTACTATATTTAGTAATTCTCTCTAACCTAATTATATTTGGCCGTGTATCTATTTCCGTTTTTGTTCCCTAACCTTCCTTTCTCCTGAATATCTAACTTGAGGAAAGCCTGAGTAAGCAAATAATTTCATCCAGGTTAAAAAAAAAAAGTTAAAGTTTTAGAATTAATGAAGGAATTTCTTGTTCATATTTCCAAGCTCAGTTCAACATTTACCTCCTCCTTGCAAGGGGTTTCATAGAAACCCCTTCGTCTTGTGTCCTCACATGGTGGGAGTGGCAAATGAGCTCCCTTGGCCTATTTTGTAAGGGCATTAGTCCATTATCAGAGGCCTCAAGCCCTAATCACCTCCCCAAAGGCCCTACCTCCTAATACCATCACTTTGGGGTTATAATTTCAACATATGAATTTTAGGGGGAACACAGACATTCAGACCATAGCATTTTTCAAAACAAATGTGGAAAATATTACAAAGAATGAAACTCTCTTGCAAGATTGCAATGTACATTGCCATAATAAAGGCGATGAGAAATTGTGCATTAAAGAAAACTACTTGAATATATGTAATCTAGAATCTCCAAATTATTTTTTTACTACAGAACCTCTTGTTTTTCTGTAATATCCTAACAAATTCAACATCATGTAACACCCTGTGATGAGCTTGGTTTTATTCTCTTGTGTAGGAATAGAACTCTTGAATTATTTACCTTTTACATATTTGTTTTATATTTTATGCAGCTGAAGTATACACTTGTTGAGAACAGGGACTGTGTCTTAAACTTCTTGTATCCATCACAGAATCTAAATCAATGCAATGTACGTAGTTTGAGTTCAATATATATGTTTTAAATGTCTTAATTAAGTTAACCAGAATAAGACTGGTGGCTACAGATACTTCACTCACGAGATTGAGTTCAATAATAAGCAGAAATGGCAGAAATTCACAGATTCACCAGTGCATTCTCAGGGCTCGGCATATAGAAAGAACTACATTGAAATTTATCACATGCTAAAATATGTGTTAGAACAGATGCAGATAAAAACATAAGACTCAGTCCTAGAAATAAAAGAATCTAGAAGCTTTGGGGGCAACTTGTAAATAAAGACCATGAGCTCATGTTGCAGCAGGATATGAAGTAAGACTACAAAGAACACAAACAGCAAGTGTCGTCTTCAGTTTATTTGAGACAGGTTCGCATTGGACAAAATGTGCAGTATGCTTGGATGCTTATGAAGCAGTACAGTGCATGGTGAAGTGCTTTTTCTTGGGATAACCTGCCTAAGTTCAGGACTTAGCTCTGCCACTTGGTAGCTGAATGAGCTCAAGTCAATCTCTTAATCCCTTATCTAGAAAATGGGATTTTAAAAATGCCTACCATGCAGGGTTATTGTAAACAATAATAAGATATTTAAAGAATTTGACACAGTGCCTGTTCCATGTACTAGTCAGAAATCAATACATGTAATCTATTATTTTTGCTAGGGTAGATCAGAAAAACGACAGAAAGGTCTTTACACTTTCTAATAGCAACGTGGTTCAAGTCTTTTTACCTTGATCTTTCCAGACTTCTCTTCTTTCTCAGTTTTTACACTCTTGATATATGCTGTGTCTTGCATGGCCCTATGATCACACAGCTTTTTATACAGTCAGTTAAAATCATATTATAATGTATGTCTTTGCTTGAGGGCAAAAACCATGACCCATGCAGTTTTGTACTTGTACGGAGCCAGAACGGTAATTGCTGGTAGTTAAATGCTCAGTAAATACTGATCGAACAACACATTAATATTTTTAATTAAAAATATATTAAACATTAAAAATGTACAAATAACTGCTAAATGTGACTATGAATTGAGGGAAAACTGGTTCTTTTCGGTACAACAAGATATTTTAGGTGGTTAGATATCTGAATTCCCGAGTTGGATATTTTCTTATAACATATGCATACTTTCTTAAAGTTCCATTATTTTCGATATTAACCATTTCAATATAAATTTTTTGGAGCCTGCTTTTATAGTTGCCTCTGTTTCCTAATTCTCAAACATTTAATTGCTCTGTTTAATAGCCATTTACCTCTTTTTAAAATTTATTATTTATATCCTCCAACAGTACTAATAATTCTTTTATGTTTAATTACTGTTAGGTTTAGAATTATGCATTTTATTTTATTTTATTTTATTTATTTGAGATGGAGTATCACTCCGTCACCCGCCCAGGCTGGAGTGCAGTGGTGTGGTCTCGGCTCGCTGCAACCTCTGCCTCCTGGGTTCAAGTGATTCTCCTGACTCAGCTTCCCACGTAGCTGGGATTAAAGGTGCCTACCACCACCATGCCCGGCTAATTTTTGTACTTTTAGTAGAGACGGGGTTTTACTCTGTTGATAAGGCTGGTCTCGAACTCCTGACCTCAAGTGATCCCCCTGCCTCAGCCTCCCAAAGTGCTGAGATTACAGGAGTGAGCCTGGCCTAAATAATGCATTTTGAAATAAAAATGTCATATATGATTATAACGAAGACTCTTGAACATCCTATTTGCTTTTCATTATTTCTATTGGCTATTTAGGCTTTACTTGGTTTAGACGAAGCATGGATTGAGCACCGGCTTATATTTTTTCATGTTGCCTTATAAGCCATGAGGTCTATTTTGGAGCTTGGCTGGAGAACTGACCCTCAGAACACTATTACTCTTCCTGGACAAGAAAAAAACCTAGTAAAAAAGAAATAACTTGATAAAAATCTCCTGAATCCTTACTATATTTTAGGAACTTGTCATATCTGAAAACCTCATCATCATATGAGGCAAGTAGTAACATTTTACTGAGGAAATGGAAGACTAAGGAAGTTAAGAAATTCACCCAAAATTTAATTGCTTATAACTACGTGAACTGAGATTTAAGCATAAAGGTCAGTCTGATCGGAGCCTGCCCTACACCACCTTTTTATCCATAATTTATCACACACTAGTACTATTTTTGTAGTTAACATCTGAATGATTAGGCAGAAGTAAGCCATTTGGAACTGTGCTGCTAGGACATTGGAATACCTCTCTCTTTTCTTAACATATTACAGCTCTCTGGATATGTTTTTTATTTTTCGTTTTGAGACAGGGCCTTGCTCTGTCTCCCAGGCTGGAGTGCAGTGGTGCAATTATGGCTCACAGCAGCCTCAAACTCCTAGGCTCAAGCAATCCTCCCAAATTTGGGAGGCCTCAACCTTCCAAATTATGAGTATGTTTAATCCGAAAAAAAAGATAAAAATTGTTTCACTGCAACTTAAAAAATTGGTAATTTATTCCATAGATTTCCATCTAGTTCTCCAGCTTTCATATTCGCTCAACATCTACTGAAAGCTCCCATTCATGTTGAGTCAGCTAGCAGGGTATACAGGCAGGTCTGAAGCTTATGAATAGGAGAACTGGGATGACTGCCATTGTGCAGATCTTTCTGGTAAAGCCAGAATTTGAGGTTTAAATAACAGGTTGTCTTGAATATCTACTGATCCCCATGTAAGAATCTAATGTTATATCACTGACTCACCTGAGACTTATTAGTCACCTATAAAGCAACTATAATATAATGAGGAAAATAAGGGATTAATAATTTTTTTATCTTATAAAGCATTTCAAAAAAGATGCATTTGTAATTAGTAGAAGCATGTTTTTATTCACTGTATAGTTTTTCCATAAGAGCACTAAGCTTAAACTTGACTTCAGTATGTTAAGTATTCTGAGAATGTTACCTTTCTCAAAAAAACTTACAAAATGATAACTTGGAAACAAGGAAGATTTTGCATAAATCCTGCATTAAGAAATTTTTCTTGCATCACTGGGCTTACAGGAAGAAAGGAAAATCTTCAGCAGCCCGAAACACACAAACGCAGAAAGAATACACAAAATAATAATCTGTGAAGTAAAACCAGAGCAACGAGTAAACCCTTGTGAAAAGCAACGCTACCCTGATTGTAATGCCAGTGCCAGAGCTAAGGCAAGGAGACTAAGCCTTAGGCATGCAACAAGGTTGAGTTGCTGATCCTAAAACCCCCACATTAATCTGGGCATCTTAGAATGGGCCAGAGTGTTCTCAAGTCTAAGCTGAGTCTTAGAAGAAATAATTTTAATTTAATTTTTCCCTGGGTAATAGCATATTCAATTTAGGCCCCAGTTTCCCCTCCTCCTAAATATTGGAGACAAGGGCATATCAAGAAAGGTTGAGAAGTGGTAGAATCCTCATGCTTTGGGTTGGGATCCTGAACAACTCACTCTAGAAGTGATTAACTGTAAATGAAGTCCTTGAAGGAACTGAAACCTAGTTTGAATAATCCAGCCTAATGCCAGAGCCCACCACTGCTTACAGGCTGGGTGTACTTATAGGTATGGGCGGGAGGGATCTGGGCAGTATGGCTTGCTGCCCGGCAGGATATTGATAAGATGTTCCAATGATGAGGCGGTTCTGGCCCTTGTTCCGGCAGGTTGTCATCGTGGTGTTCCTTGGACCTTTGTCCAGCAAGATATGATAGGGATGTTTCTTTAGTTGGGCCTTTGTTTGCCTTGCGACACGGTCAGGTGGTTAGGCAGGAGGTTTCTCATGGCCCAAACCCCCATGAAATGTTTCACTTTGACCAAGGTCTGCAAAATAGCAGGGAGCTTAAAAAATGGTGCAGTTTGGACTAACAATTAGAAGATAGCTCGGAGAAAATAATTTTTAAGACAGAAAATAGATAAAATAGCCTAAGTTTGGGAATACGTGAGTCACAACTAACACGTGGATAATGAGAGTCCTGGAGGAGAGTAGAAAGAAAATAAGGCAGAAGTGTATTTAAAATAATAATGGACTTATAATTTTCCAAAAAGGATGAAAGATTTAAAATAGAGGTGTCCAATCTTTTGGCTTCCCTGGGCCACATTGGAAGAAGAATTGTCTTGAGCCATACGTAAAGTACACTAACGATAGCTGATGAGCTTTAAAAAAATCACAAAAAAAAATCTCAAAATGTTTTAAGAAAGTTGATGAGTTTGTGTTAGGCCACATTCAAAGATGTCCTGGGCTGCATGCAGCCCACGGGCCATGGTTTGGACACGCTTGATTTAAAGCCATAGCTTCAAGGTGCTTTATGAAACAAACAGGGTAAATAAAAGCAAAATCGCACATAAGTATATCATAGTAAAGTTGCGGAACTACAAAGATAGAAAAATGCTTAAAAGCAACCAGGAAGAAATCTTTGTAACTCTACAGGAATTAAAATAGGATTAACCATCAAAACTCATAATATGTAGCTAAAGCTATGTTGAGAGAATGTTTCATTTCAAATATATATGTTAGAAGAAAAAAATTGAAGTCAGTGAGTTAATAGAAGCAATGGAAACTCAAGCACAATAAAATAAAGGCTGAAAGAAAATAACTGCCAATCTAAAATTGTATTTTCTCTTTTTTCTTTATATATACATATATTCTAAATTCTATTTTCAATAAAAACATTCTTCATGAATAAAGGTGAAATAAAAATATTTTCCACACAACCAAAAACTGCAAGAATTTATCACCTGAAAATCTACACTGAAAGAAATACTAAGGCATGTTCTTCAGTAAGAAAGGGTAAATGGATAGTTTTAGACAGACAACTAGAGAGAAAACTAGACAGAAAAGTGTGGAGATGCAAGAGAAAGAGCAGCAAAAAGGGTCTAAATATTTACTGTTCAAATTAATAATAATAATATCATATTTAAAATTTAAAACATATAGAGTTAAAATATATGACAACAATGCCATCTAAATCTAAAGAATGATAAACTGAGGTTACATGTTCGAAGGTTCTTGAACTGTCTTGGAAGAAATATAAGGGCTAAATTATCCTAGTCTTTGATAAATGAAGAATCCAGGTTTTAATCGCTCAGGGTAATACAAAAAAAGTAAAGAATATATAACTAAAAGAGTCAATTATTTAAAGTAAGAAAGAAGAAAAAAATAACACCAAATGGTGACATTTTTAGCTTAGTTCTCTGTGAGCAGAGAAAATTTATGAAAATTCAGTACATGCATGCTAGCTAGGGCAGAAAGCATGTCACAACATGTTTAACTCTTGGCCCATTTGCTCCGAGAAGCCCCAAGAATACTCACTGACCACACTTGGCGGCTGTTGCATTTGACCCTGAGGTAACTAACTTTGCAACAAAATATCTCGCTTTTATTACTATTTTAACATTGCTCTCACATATCGACTTTGGAAAGAAAAGACATCTTTTTATTTATGCATTCTGTCCTTAGTAGTGTTATTCCCATTTACAAAATATAGTAATTCTCAAATGCTGAAAATGTCGAATTCTAGAAAAAGTAGCATTCTTACGCATGATATTAACATCATTCTCTGACAGGTATTGACATTTGATAAATCCAGTTTTTCTGAAATAGACAATTCTGATGTCAGTTCTGTTTAGAAAAAACTCCAAGAACAGTTTTTATATTTTATTATTTATTTATTTCAGATGGAGTCTTACTCTGTTGCCCAGGCTGGTGTGCAGTGGCACGATCTTGACTCACTGCAACCTCTGCCTCCCTGGTTCAAGCAATTTTCCTGTCTCAGCCTCCCGAGTAGCTGGGATTACAGGCGTGTGCCACCACGCCTGACTAATTTTTTTGTATGTTTAGTAGAAGTGGGGTTTCACCATATTGGCCAGGCTGGTCTTGAACTCCTGACCTCAGGAGATCCACCCACCTCGGCCTCCCAAAGTGCTGGGATTACAGGCATGAGCCCCATGCCCAGCTCAGTTTTTATATTTTATTTTCACAGTGAAAACCAGTCAGATTTAATTCAGCCTCAGAGAGCATATTTTTGTAAAATTAAATGAGCACTGGCAGAAAGCTTTTTTTTTTTTTCTAATCAGGAAAAGAGTTAAAAGGATTGTAATAAAATGGAGTGTGCTCACCGACCACAGTAGAAATAAAAGTCAACAACAATAAGAAAACTTGAAAATCCCCCAAATAGTTGGAAAATAAATAATATGCTCCTAAGTAATCTGTGAGTTAAAGAATAAATTACAACAAAAATTAGAAAATACTTTAAAATGTTGATAAATACAATACCTGTCAAAACTCATGGTATGTAATTAAAGGCATGCTGAATGAGAAATTTTTAGTTTTAAATACATATATTAGAAAAGAAAGATTAAAGTTAATGAACTGTCTCAAGAAATTGAGTCTTGAAGACAGTAGAACAGAAGAACAGAAATCATAAAGAGACAAGCAAAAAATCCATGATAGATTAAAAAAATGAGATAGAGGCATCAAAACCAAAATGGGGTACTTTGGAAAGAGTAATAAAATTGACAAACTCCTTCCTTCTGAGACTGGTGAAGAAAAAGTTTAAAAAGAGAGAATGCAGAAATACCTAATATTGGAAATGAAAAGGTTATATTTCTACAGATCCTATGTTCCCAACTTTATGACAATAAATTTGAAAAATATGTAAAATTAATAAAGTCCTAGAAAAATAAAACACTAAAACTGATGCAAGAAGAAATAGAAATTATAAATATTCTAAATAAATGTATTATATTTGCTAGTAAACTTTGTGAAATAAAGTGCTAATTTTGTCACCTTTCCTGGAGAATAAAATAGAAGAAACATGTCCGAGCTTACTTTATTAGGTAAGAATAATTTTCAAAATGAAAATTTTAGAAGAATATTAAAGAATGAAAATTATAGGCCAATTCATTTATGACGACGATATGAAAGTCTGTAAATTCAATTAGAAATTTGAATCAGCCAACGGATAAAAGTATAAAATATTGACCTTATTTGATTTATTTCAGAAATATGAGGTAGGTTTAATATTAGAAAATCAGTCATTGTAGTCTACATTAACGGCATAAAAGAGAAAATGTTGTAAGTATTCAAATGGATTCAGAAAGAGTATTTGATGAAACTTAATGTTATTAATGGTAAAAGCTCTTCTCTAACTAAGAATGAGACCTTAATCTCATTTCAAATACAAGATATTCTAAAACAAATAAAACAAACTACAGCAAACATCAAATTCAATGGTAAACATTAAAAGCTTTCTGTTGGAGATAGAAAATAATATAAGGGCACTACCTATCATCACTTTAAGTCAACATTTTTGTATAGGTCCTAGCCAGTGCAATAAATCAAAATGAAATTAAAATACAATCACTTGAAAGGAAAGAAAATTTATCATTATTAATGTACAATATAATTTCATGCTCCAAAAATCTGAAATAATCACTGATAAATTATTAGGATTAAGAAATGATTTTGGCAAGTTTATTGAGTGCAAGATCCAATATGAAAACATAACTTATATTTTTATGTATTGGCAGAGAATTAGAAAATGAAATAAAATAACAATTACAGTAGCATTAAAACAACAACCAATACCTAGCAATAAATCTGACATAGGTTGTGCATGACTACTATTCAAAAAACAATTTAAAGGTAAATTTTTAGAAGACTTAAAGAAATGGAGACATACACTACATTTATGGATTTAAAGAGTCAATGTTTCAAAGATGTCAATTCTACTCAATCTGATCCACTAGATTTAGTGCAGTTCTAGTGAAATTTCTGTCTTCTTAAGGTATGAATTGACAAGTTGATTATAAAGTTCACAGAGCAATGCAATGAGCCAAGAGCCATGAATAATCAACTTCCTTCATGAAGAAGAACAAGATGAGAGAACTTACTCTAATTGATATTAAGCTTATTACGAAGTTATAGTAATTGCAATAATGTGGTGCTGGAACAAAGATGGATAAATAGACCAAAGTAACAAAATGGTGCTCAGTAACAAACCCACGCATATACGTCTATTTGATTTATGTTAAAGAAGAAATAATAGAGCAGTAGGAAAAGGGAGTTCTTTTCAATAAATAGTTCTGGGTCAACTAGATAACCATATGGTCAACTAGGTAACAATAAGTGGTTCCAGCTCAACTTGATAACCATAACTAGACAATGAACCATATATTTGACCCCTACTGATATCAAATGCAAATATTGATTCTATATGAATGCTAGATCTTTTTAAAAATAATATGGAATATCTTTATGACTTTGAAAATTGTGATAGATTTCTTGAGCAGCACACACAACATTAATCATAAAAGAAAATATTGATATACTAGAATACTTTAAAATTAAGAAAACTTGTTCAGCAAAAAGATAGAGTGGAAGAACATACTTATAACACTTATAATCAACAAAAACCTTATGTTCAGAATGTATAAAAAACTTTTACAAATGGATAAGACATGGATAAGAATAAGAGATTTAAAAAGATGAAACATCACAATAAATGTAATAGAAATAATGATGAGAGAAAAATAGTAAAAATTAGTGCAGAAAATAAGGAGAAACAATCAAGCAATAGAAATTATCAACCATGTTAGTTTTTGAAATATTAGTGAAGTAAATAAATTTTGGCTAGATTGATAAACAAACAACACATAAATAATATTCATAGGCTGTGCACAGTGGCTCATGCCTATAATCTCACTTTGGGCACTTTGGGAAGTCCAGGTGGGAGGATTGTTTGAGCCCAGGGGTTTGAGACCAGCCTGGATAAATAGTGAGATTCCATCTCTACAAAAAATTTAAAAAATTATCTGAGTGTGGTGGCACATGCCTGTGGTCCCAGCTACTTGGGAGGCTGAGGCCAGAGGATCACTTGAGCCCAGGAGGTCGACGCTGCAATGAACCATATTTGTACCACTTGCACTCCAGCCTGGGCAACAGAATGAGATGCTTTCTCAAAAAAAATAGTAATATTAATAATAAAATTGACATAGCTATGGATCTGTACACAATAAAAAGATAAAACAATGAACAATTTTGTGCCAATATGCTAAACACTTAGAAAAAATGAATAATTCCTTAGAAAAAGGATTTATCAAAACTGACTCAGAAAAAAATGAAAGCCTGAGTAGTCTTAAAATTATTATCTTCATACAAAAAACAACAGGCAAAAATGGTTTTAGAAGAAACCTCTAACAGGCATTTAAGGAGCAGATGATTAAAATCATACTAAGGGTTTTCTTGCAAATAGACAAGGAGGAAATCAAACTCATGTTATTAGGCTAGTTTGGTCTTGATAACAAGATCATAAACAATTATTGTGGTAGGTAAATCATGGATGCAAAGTCTTTGAAACTACTTCCATAAAGAGTTAGGTTTACCTCTCCTCTACAGTATTTAATGCTTACACTGCCTTTTTTTAGAACTAATAAAGCATGGCAGAAGTGGTGCTATGATAATTCTGGACCCAGCTTTTAAGAGGACTGATGGGTACTACCTTGGTTGCTTGGAGCCCTGAACTACTGTGGAAGAAGCATAACTATCCTGTTGTATAGACTATGCAGTGAGACCCTGAGACTATATGGAGAAGGAGAGGGGCCCAGCTGAGCCCAGCATTCCAGGCTTCCCTGCCAATGCACCAGGCATTTGATTGAATTTGTCTTGGACTTCAGCTCAGTTCAGTCACAAGCTGACTACCACTGAGTGATCTTAGTTAACGGCATAAAGAAATGAACAATTTCCCAGAGAAGCCCTGCCCAAATTTCCAACCCACAAAACCAGGAGACATAATAAAATAGTTGTTACTTTAAGCCTCTATGGGTGGGAGTACTTTGTTATGCAGCAATAAAATAGCTGGAACAGACTGTATGGGGGAGCAAATTTGTAGTCCAATATCAGACATGAACATAGATGCAAAAATCCTAAACAAACTATTGGCAAATCAAATCCAGTGATATATATATATATGCCAAATTGGGTTTATCCCAGGTATGCAAGGGAGTTCAATATTAGAAACTTCACTAATGTAACTCACTGCAATAATAGATTAAAGGGAAAAAGCATAATTTTATTTCAATAAGTGAAAACAAGGCATTTGAAATGCCAATGCACATTCACTATAAAAACTCTTAACAAAATAGGAATAAAAAGGTCTTTTTTTAATCTGATGAAAATTCTCTGCCAAAAATGAACAGAAGGCATCCTTTTAAATGGTAAAATGTATTAGCATTTTATTTAAAATCAGGAAAGTTGTTTATCATCAACATTTCTGTTTAACATTGTATTAGAGATTCTAGCAAATACGTAATTTGAAAAAATATTTAAAATACCATTTATAATAGCAATAAAAATAGGCAAATAGGTACAGAGTAACAAATCTAACAATAAGTAGACAAACCTTTATGGAAACAATTTAAAACTTTATTAAAATATATTAAAGAAGACCTATATAAATACAGACATAACACTTCATGAATAGAAAGACTAAATATCATAAAGATGTATGTTTTCCCCAAATTAATCTTTAGACTAATGAAATTCCAGTAAAATTCCAATGGTGGTTTTAGTGAAACTTGACAAGCTGATTCTAAACTTTTGTATGAAACAGCAAAATCTCAAGAATAGGCAAGACATTCTTAAAGAGGAAAAATTTAAAAAAATAAATTTGGGAGGACTTGCCATGTTAGATATCATGATATATTATGAAGTTATAGTAGTTAATATACTTCATATTTGTGAAAGAATAGGCATACTCATTGGTGGAACCAAATAGAAAACGCCCCAAAATATGTAAACATATAATGTTATATGCATAATGATATCTATAATAATCAAGGAATACTAAATGTGGTAGAGATATTTCAGTCGAAGCTCTAAACTAAATAAACCATTTGTCATTAAAAAAAATCACTCAGAAGAGATAGTATATGCCAGGAAATCTGATTTTAAGGACAGGGAATTTATGACAACTAACCACAATTTTTGTATTTGCACCTAAGTTGAATACACTACTGCGTCACACCTCCAACGACTATTCTGATTTCTCTATCGCCTGACTAGCTCCTAATCATTTAAAAAATATATTTCAGATATTGAGATGTTCTCTGCTTAATTGTCTCTGGCCTACCTTAAAGAATAGCTCATCAGTCTCTTTGATGTACTGTTTTGTAAGGAACATAAATTACTAATGTTTTTGGACTTCAATCACAGTAATGCAATTTACTTACACATTTGCCCTGTTAGACTGAGTTCCTTGACAACAGATACTACCCTTTTAATAGATAACAGTTTTTGCCAGCTTCTGTACTAGATGTGTATTGGAGATACAGAAATCAATATGGATTGGGAATGTGGTTGGATTCATAAAAAGGATTAAGATAAAAAAGAAAGAAAAGGAAAGAAAGAAGATATAGTAGCATTTTAAAATTATTTTCCATGGTCTAAGCAGCATGCTAATCACATTTACATGTAAGGAGTCGTGGAATTACAGAGCTGGAATGGACTTTGAGATCATCTCTCAAACCTTCTTATTTTACAGAAGTAACTATGTCACAAAGCATTTAAGTGGCTCATCCAAGGTCATCTGACTATTTGGTTGTAGAAGGCATCAAAGTCCAAACGTCCTATCTCCTAGTTGAGTGTTATTTCCTTTACATCACACTGCTTCCTGTTCTGGCCTTTCTAAAATACAAGAACAGAATTTAGTATCCCAGACCCCTGTATATTATCTGACTATGGCTCATCATCAGAATATCCCTATGCTTCCAAAATAACAGTTTTAACTTTGCCTGAGAGGTTATTTTGAATCATTACCTTCCTATGAGAAATCAGGTACAAATGTTTATGGATTAAGTGATTTAATACTAAATTATGTGAGGTGGTTTCATCTCTGTATTATTCATAAAACCCAAATGTTATCAAATTATTCTAATTTATGTTAGGGAGAAAAATATCTGTATTAACCCTGGGCTAGACAAGTAGCATTATTCTTATTAAAAAACTCAAGTATATGTAAATTTACGGAATTCAGCTTTTTTTTCCATAGGTTATTGGGGTACAGGTGGTGTTTGGTTACATGAATAAGTTCTATAGTGGTGATTTGTGAGCTTTTGGTGATACTTTGATTACATGACTGTTTATGATTACATCAAATCAAAGCCTTTCCCTAAAATTTGGTTTCAACCTGGTTTATACTCAATTAGTTAAGACACTTTTATTTAATATTTGCTTTTTTACTTTTGCATGCATGAAGTTTAATAATTCATCTAATTTGACTTAATTTTCTAAAGCCTGGAGTGTTTTTGAATAAGCTTTGCCTTTGGTTCCTATTAGGATTTCTCTTTTCTCATAAATAACTTGATCTCATTTAGATTGCAAGAAATACACAGAAAAAAAAGTAAATATTTTTCCTGGCTCATAATGATGTCTCAATTTTTATCTGTCCCGTTGAACCACCCAGTTAAGTAAAAATAAAAATTTTATGCATAATACAAAGTTTTAGATGTTAGACCATTAGGCACTTCCAAATAGCTACTGATCATTTGTCAGAGACCCGAACTCAGCTAAGTAAGTTTCTTTTACTGGAAACAAAACAAAACACAACCAATGACAGCATCAGAGTTCGCTGTAGACTGCTCAGCTGGGATATATTCAATTCAGATACCAAGTCCTACCTGGAAGTGTGAGTTAATCTAGAAAGCACAGAATATTTCCTGTTCTCTGGAAACAGAACCTGTAAGAAGGGGAACCATTGTGCACAGAGATAAAGCATACTCAAAACACCACCTCACTTCTGTATTCTGAGTCACTACAGATATTGACTAACACGTCCCCAGACTGCTGAACAATGTATTGGAAATTTTCTCCTATCTTCCCTGACCCCTCCAAAAGTGAGTATTTGATTAATCCATTTTAAGGTCTGAAATTCTCAATTTTTCCTAAAACAAAATTTCTGAAAATCTAACTATATCAGTAGCAGATTGCTAAGGAAGGTATATTTATTAAAATCTTCAAAAGTGATATTGTTTGAATGTCACGAATATGATTTGACTCCATCTATTTCCACTGTGTGTGTGTCTTAATTTGTGTTTTATTATGTTTTCTCATTTATGAATGGGATAAATAACTTTCCTGGGGCTGATAGCAAAGAGAGCTATTCCGAAGCCAAAATGATTGTGGTTCTGTTGCTGTACCCTGCCACTCTGCTCCTTTGGGGGAAGTGCCCTGTGGTTTTGCCAGGGGCAGACAATCCCATAATCACACACCCAATGCCCTGGTCACAGAAGTAGATAACCAGCCAGACTGAGCCAATCACAGTGGTTTCTGTGGCCTGGCCAGGGGCAGCCAGGGGTCTAGAGCAGGTTGGCCAGCATCCTTCTCTAGGGAGTTCTAATCAGAAGCTGGGAGAGAAAATGTGTCTTTTCTATGTGTTCAGGAGCTGTGAAAATGTGGGATGTTCCCTGCCACATGAAAAAACTGAGAGCAGTGGCATTATGCGGTGATGAATAAAATAGGGCAAACAGAGAGAGACAAAGCAGACAGGGCTGACAATGTTTGAATTCTTGTTTCTGGCGCTGTCCCCACAGGGGCCCTCGTTCCTGTTGTTCTTTCTTCAATTTGGGGGCATAACCCAGGTTCTTCAGGAAATACCCTTTCACTCAAATACATTTCTTTCCCTTTGCTTTTCCTTTTTTTCTCTTTCTGAAAATAAAAAGCATAGGCCATTAATTTTGGATTTTTAATTCTATCTATGTGCTTATATAAGGCATTTACAACAATATTTTTTCCTTTGGACACTATATCCCATCAAGGATAGGCAGCATGTATAATTTTCATTCAGTTCAAAATATTTTCTAATTTTCCCTGCAATACTTTTGTTTTGACCCATGGATTGTTTAGAATTGTGTTAATTTCCACATATTTGGTGATTTCCACATATTTTTTGTGATTGACTTGTAAAATTGCATTGTTGTCAAAGAACACGGTCTGTCTGATTTCTATCTTTTTAATTTTATTGAGACCTATCTATGGCCCTATATGTGGCCTATCTCTGTGAATGTTCTTTGTACAGCTGACTAGAAAGCGTATTCTGCTCTTTTTAGGCGAAATGTTCCAAAAATGTCTATTAGGTCTACTTGATTGATGGTGTTGGTCAGTTCCACTACATGCATACTCATTTTCTGTCTACTTGTCCTATTACTGAGACAGGAATGTTGAAGTAACACTCAAATGGATTTGAGTTATGTTTTCTGGATAATACAATTAGTTGCCTATTTAAAAACAAAACAAAAATAAGTATAAAAGGCTGCTAACAGTAGGCGCTGTTTTAGAGAGTCGTGTATTTATATCTTACGTGAGCAGTGGACAAACAGCAACATGCTCAAGAGTTTCTTCCTTGTTTTGTTAGTTTATGGAAATGTTGGGAGATAAGAAAATATTCAGAAATGGCTTCTTTCTAGGGGTCTTCACTTCTTATAAGAGGCTCTTGGATGTCAGGCCAAGTCTGGTAGTGGGTGGGAAGTCTGGTTGAGTTGGCTACACTCTCTAGGCAGCAGTGCTTCTTCTGGTCTACACCAGCATCCTAAGACTACCCAGGAATGCACTGAAGAGGAGTGACTCACTCACCCACTCAGCCCAATTAGAGTGGTACCAAAATGAGCTTTCATGGAAATTTGCAGCACTGATGTTGTATTCAAAGCTTCTCTCCTTATTATTAGCACATTTATAAACAAAATTTTAGGCAGAAATTGTATGATAGTGTTAGCTCCTGTAGCTTCATAATATTTCAGCAAGGAGGCAGGTATTATCTTGTTTACTAGAGAGAGGGACACAGAAGACCGAGAGAAACAGGTACTTCCCCCAGTCTTCTGAGTGGTGTAAATGTAACAACAACAGTATGTTGAAAAATGATATGTCATTGGGAAGCATAGCTTTGTCGAGCTCACGTGCATGCTCTGAAGTTCCTGTAATAAAAGTAAAATGCTTTTAAAAATTATTTTGAAAGCTGCTACATTTCTGAAATATGCTATAATAATATCAACTTCTGGCAATGGAGCTGACGTATTTCAGCTCAAAGTACACACATACAGATGTTATTTTTAAAACAATAGTTCAGCAATTACCCTCATGCGGTCACATTCCTGATTTTATTGAGTGGCAGTGCTTGGGAGGAAATGTTGGATTTTAATTGATGATATCAATATGAAGTTTCATACAATAAAAATGAAGGCAGGGAACAAAGGCAACATATACTTGTTTGACAATATTTGAAAGCAATGTCAAGTTGTGGTGAGATTCTCCTGCCCATTTTAGGTAGAGTTTTGCAGTGTGTTGTTTGCTTAGATTAGAGTTTAATTCAGTATTTAAAAAACGTTGCTTATTTTTGTTCTTAACCATCATCATAATAGATCTGTGATTATCTGATTTTATAGATGGTAGGATATTTTTTGTGGGACTCGGTTTCATTTAAACAAGCTGTCTTCCATGTAACATATGCTTTTGCTAGTGGATCATAATAGTTATTAATAAAAATTAATGCATTGTGTTTATTCATCTATTTCATTGGAAACAATTGATAATCTTTCTTAATTACAAGACAAAATGAGTTCCAATGATTGAACTAAAAAATTGAGACAAATTTAAGGAGTGAAAGGAATTATTATCCTTGACTAAATGCAGGTAGTGATGTAATTTCTTTGTACATTGATGTGAATATCATTACTGAGTTATGTTTTTATTTGTGTGTAATTTTAGGATTCATACGCATGTCCTGTAAGCAACTTTTCTTTTTTTTTTGAGATGGAGTTTCGCTCTTGTTGCCCAGGCTGGAGTGCAATGGTGTGATCTCGGCTCACTGCAATCTCCACCTCCCAGGTTCAAGCGATTCTCCTGCCTCAGCCTCCCAAGTAGCTGGGATTACAGGCGTGCACCACCGTGCCTGGCTAATTTTGTATTTTTAGTAGAGATGGGTTTTCTCCACGTTGGTCAGGCTGGTCTCAAACTCCCGACCTCAGGTGATCCGCCTGCCTCGGCCTCCCAAAGTGCTGGGATTACAGGCATGACCCACCGTGCCCGGCCTAAGCAACTTTTCTAAGAGAGAAGTTGTCTTGGAATATGAGTGGGTTAAATGGAGGTTCCCATATGGATATCATGTAGACAAGCACCATCCAAAGTGTGGTCTGTGGACCTTCATTGTCTTCATCACCTGGGAGCTTGTTAGAAATTCAGAATTGTGCTGAATCAGAATCTCTTTGTTGGCGAGGAGCTCAGGAATTTGTTTTAACAAGCTCTTTTTTGTGTGATTCAATGAATGTTAAAGTTTGAGGACCATTGATCCACAAATTATACATTTCCGTGCTGGTATCAGGTATAAGAGCTGACTCAGACTCTGTATTCAACAACCATCCTAAGATCTGGGTTTTCCCCTTCTCCCATGGACACTTACCTGAATAAATAATCAGATTCCTTTAGGGAAGAACTGGTTAATTACTACCGTTGTGTCTCGACTACTTCCTCATGGGGACCTGCTCATTCCTTCAGTAGATGGTTGAGTCAAAGACCTGGCTAGGGATTGTGATACTCCATTGGGGCAACTTTATTTATAGAGTTGTTAGTTTTTGAACCATCACTACGATACAGTTTTAGAACATTTCCATCACCCCCTCCTCTTAACTTCTCTTCAGGCTATCTGAAATCAATCCTTTCTGCCACCTTTATTTCCAGAAAACCTCTGATCTGCTTTCTGTCTCTACACATTTGTCTTTTTCTTGAGCATTTCATATGAATGGAATCATACAATGTGTACTCTTTTGCATTTGGTTTCTTTCAGTTTTCATAATGTATTTGAGGTCCAGCCATTTTGTAGCAAATACCAACATTTTGTTCCTTTTTGTTGCTCAATAGTATTTCATTGTATGAGGATCACATTTAGTTTATCCATTCTCAGGTTGATGGATGTTGGATTGTTTACAATTTCAGAATATTATGAATAATGCTGCTAGGAACATTTGGGTACAAATCTTTGTGTGGACATACTTCCAGGTCTTGTGGGTGGATACCTCAGAGTGGAATTCCTGGTCGTATTGTTACCGGTGGCAGGTGTCCTGGTTCTTGGCATTTTGAACAAAGAATTGGACAAAACACACAAACAAAGCAAGGAAAGAATGAAGTAACAAAAACAGAGATTTATTGAAAACAAAAGCACACTCCACAGGGTGGGAGCCGGCTTGAGCAAGCGGCTCAAGAGCACTGGTTAGAGAATTTTCTAGGGTTTAAATACCCTTTAGAGATTTCCCATTGGTTACTTGGTGTATGCCCTATGTAAATGAAGAGGATGAAGTGAAGTTACAAAGTTATTTACTTGGTGTACGTCCTATGCAAATGAAGAGGATGTTTGCTACCGTAGCTGAAGTGAAGTTACAAAGCTCTTTATTAACACTTGGGTTTAGAAGGTTGGGGTTTTTCAGTTTAATTTAGTTCTAGGAATTCTTTAGGTTCCCTGTATGCAGAGCTTATTTCCTGCCTCAATATCACTTCTTATCATTGCTATTGATTACCTGAAATAATCAATACATTTACAAAATA